>NC_000005.10:91624958-91927988 GCF_000001405.40 Homo sapiens
AGGTAAAGTAGGGAGGCTAGCAGGGCTGGAATGGGAGAAATGGCCTTCCTTCCAGCTGTGATAAGGCTCAGGTAGTCTTTTCCCTGGGAAAGTAGGTATTGGTAATGCAGAATGCCTCAGCCATATTTCAAAATAATTACTCATTCCTTCCTCCTGCCAGAGCCATGTGAAATTTTTTTCAAAATTTTTACCTTGAGAATCCAGTAAGATTCCTGGAAATAAAACCCAGGAAACTCTCAGAGTTTTCCTGACTCGCGTGTTAATTCACACTCAAAATCCCTCAATTCATCAAAATTGCCACTTAAGTTTCCTACCAGCTTATACTCCAGTGACTTCTGCTCCAGATCTTGTGTAACTTTCTGGAATCTCTTGTCTCTCCGAATTTGGAGTGGCAGTTTTTCCTGTAACTGTTCTCTGGTAGGTCTAAGAAGTCACTGACTGGAAGTCTAAGCCTGATATTTTTAAGTCATTCTATTTGGAGTACAGGAACAACTGCTTTTGTGATCTTGTACATCTCCAAAGTAAGAAAAACTTCAGTTTATGTAGATTTTCTAGGAGGGCAGTTGCTATGGTCTGAATGTTTGTGTCCCCCTCAAATTTATATGTTGACATTCTAACCCCCAAGGTGACAGTATTAGGAGGTGGGGCTTTTGGAAGGTGATTAGGTTATATAGGTAGAGCCCTCACGAATGGGATTGATGTCTTTATAAAAGAGGCCAGGAAAGACCCCACACCCTTTCACATGTGAGAAGGAGCCATCTATAAACTAGGAACAGGCCCTCACCAGACACTAAGTCTATTGATGCTCTTATCTTGGGATTCCCAGCCTCTAGAATTGTGAGAAATAATTTTCTGCTTTTATAAAAACTACTCAGCTTATGGTCTTTTGTTACAGCAGCCTGACTAGACTAAGACAGCAGTTTTCTTAGCAAAATGGTATATCTTAACATCTCTGCTTGCAGACTGATTAGCTCCTTTGGTTCTCTCTTACAGGACTTTGTGAAGAGCTGCAAGAATGTGCTTGCATGTACTAACATTCTAAAATTTCCCCACCATTTCCTCTTTCTCTGCATAATTGGTTTGTATGTAGACTGATTTTAAGGTACAGGAGCTGTTAACTTGACAAAACTTTTTTTGCTACCACACATCAAGGGTCATGTGCCATATCTGAGTCCTTGTATCTACATTTTATTTTCTTGTTTTAGAGTTTTTTACTTGCAGCCTACCACTTCTAAGCATCAAGGTGTATGTATATCAATTACAGATTGATTTTGGCTGCATGTAACAGATACCAGAGGAAATTATCTTAAGCTGGATTTGAGTAAGATATGAGTTTATTTTGCTCTGTTGCTGAGAAATGTAGAGATAAGAGTCAAGGACTCTGAGGAACTTCATAATTTGTTGGGAATGGCAACAAAGTTGACCATGTTTCCACTCCCAACAAATGCAGATTTTGTTAATAAGGAAGAAGGAGAGAAAAGATGTTGAGTAAAGTCTAGTTCTTTACAAATATTCCAGGAGTTTATTGTATTTGTAAGAGTTTATTATATTTATTGATGTAGGGCTTATTTAGATAGGTTTTACATTATTACTTTCTAAAAGTGGGTTGTTATTTTTAGACATTATACATTATCTTGTAACTACTTTCAGTTAATTCAATGTGATAAATTACAAAGGTACACTCTAGTGCAGATCACTCTAATGCAGATTAACTAAATGTAGCTCTGTTAAGCCCCATACTGCATTAATGGATGCCCTGGTATATTCTGATATTATTTTAACTTGGAAAAACTCTGTTTTCATATTTTCAAGCTTCTATGAAATTGAACAAAGTTTGAGTAAGAGTGGTCTCCACCATCACTTTATAGCTATAAATTGCTTGGTCTGGGATTGAAATATGTAAGTGATCTGATCACAATAACGATCTAGTTATAATTTTTCAATAATGGACTTTAATACTATGCAATGAATCATTTCCATAAAGGACAAACCAATAAAGGATGCAACATTTGAGACAAGATTTAAAGAAATATTATTATTCAGGAAAAAATACTGTCTTACTAAAAAACTTATATTTATTGTCTTCATTTGCAGCCCTTGAAAACATTTTTTAAAATTCAGTATTTATATTAATAGACGACATTATACATTGTATTGGACTTGAAGATTTTAAATCTCTTCACTCAGTGCTATGGTGAAGCCAACTCTCACTGGATTGTAAAAGTCAATTGTGTGCATCTTTTCCTAACTTTTCATTCAGCGACGTAACATTGGTAGCTAGAATTTGGCCATGGTGAGAATATTTAGCTAAGGAAATCAGCAATACTACAAATTGGGACTTTTTTTAAAAAAATAAAATATCCAATTGTTAAGTATTTACTAGCATACCCTTGAATTCACCACAAAAACTCTTGCAGATTTGTTTGAATCTAGGAACCTAGATCCATCCTTGCAACTTTTTGACTCCATAGTTCCAATATTTTGCAATTCTTCTCATTTTTCTTGATGACTTTTTCCATGTTAATGTTAAGAGAAAATGTAGAAGTAAATGAGAGACTAAGAAAAGGAAATACTCTACAGAATAGCTCCTGCATTTCTTTTTAAATCCCCATGTCTTAATTTCTAATCGGGTTTCAGTCATTGATTAAATTCTAAATTAATTATACAATAATTATATACCTTTTGCTATGGATTGACTTGTGTTGCCTCGAAGTTTATAGGTTGAACCTTAATCCCCATGTGATGGTATTGGGAGATGAGCTTTTTCGGAGGTAATTAAGTTTGGATGAGGTTATGAGTGTAGGGCCCTCATGATGGAATTAGCATCCTTATCAGAAGAGACATCTCTCTCCTCAGGCATGCACAAAGATGAGGATGTGAGCACCGAGCAAGATGGCTGCCATCTATAAGGCAGGAAGAGATACCTCACCAGAACCCCATAATGCTGGCACTCTGACAGTAAAATTCTAGCCTATTGAACTATGAGAAAATAAATTTCTGTTGTTTAAGCCATCCAGCCTATGATATTTTGTTATAGCAGTCCAAACTGACTAAGACACTCTTGTTATTTTAGATTTCTATTTCTGATAAAAATGATTTAATAAACCACAATAAAAGATTATTAATTTTTAGTAAAGAAGTTCTATTTCTTTACTGAAGGAGACTCAGCGAACTTTCAAGGCTGCAGAGACATTTTTCCAGTCTAACAATTGGGCTCTTAAAGGAGCCAAAGCCATCTTATGTTCAGAAACATAATGTGAACATGACAGAAAAAAGTATTAACAAGTTACATGTGTGGTATTGGCATTTTGTAATGCATTTTGAATATTTCTCTTTACTTTTTTTAGTGTTTCCAATGGACAAGTGACTCTACCTCTTCAGATTCAGTATATTCAGCAAAGGGATTATCATAGTTTTTTTTTTAAACAGAAGCATATTTAATTCATTTTATTAAAGATAATCAGATATAGAATTTATTGTTTTGGATATTTTTTGTTATAGAAAGTGCAAAAGAATATGGATAATTAAGGTAATTGCAGGATTATTCAAGGTAAAAATACTTCTTTCGTTGCTTGATTGAACTTTAATTACACAGACAGTTGAAATAATTTTCCACTTTAATTTACAGTGTAGACCTGACCAATTTGTCTGTTTTAAGAACTGGATATATATTTCAAATTAAGAATGGCAAATCTCATTTTTCCTTCATAAATGGGTAACATAATGTAGATTCAAAAGTCCTAGGATTCAGGAAAAGAGGGCTGGAGTCTGTTGCTACTCTATGGGAACTGCTGGACTTGTGACTTTTAATTAACTTCTCTCTCATTTTGCTTGATGGCAATAAGTTATGTTCAGATAATATTTATTTGTTCGCTAAGGATTTTCATGCTTGGTTGTAGGGCAGTGAATTAGATGTTAAGGAGAGGGGAGTCATTAAAAAAATAAGTCAGATATAATTTTATCATCAATCTTAGACCATAACAATGGAGATGAGGTAAATCCCCAAAGTGATAAATCCCCAAAGATGTAGGAACTAGCAACTATGGAAAAGGTGTCATTTGAATTCATGCTTGAAGAGTAGGTAGGATTTGGACAGGCTGGAACAGAGGAAAGGGCATGATAGGCAGAGCCATTTATATAAGCAAAGTGTATTCAGACAAGAGGCAAGTTTAATGTAGGTAGAGAATGGACTGAATAGAAAGGAGAAAAGGAGTAAACTTCTATTGAACATCTACAATGTGTTAAGAAATACACTCTTCAAAATCAACTCTTTTAATAGTAAGAAGAGTTCTTCAAATTTGGTAGTATTAAAAGATAAAATAGAAGACTATTGTCTGTGTGTGTATGTGTGTATGTGATTTATATAACGATCATACAACTAATAATGATAATGAATAATGGTACAGCTTACTGGTCAAATAAATTCTCTTTTATAGTCTTAATTCACCTATAATTTTTGCATATACTATATGCTCACAATATAATTAGTAATTTTTTTATCTGTGAGCCAAAAATGGGAGGAACAACATGAATCATGTCTATTGTGCTGAAATAAATCATGCTTAGGACTCTGTGAACCTTTCTCAGAAGAACATTTTGAATATACTGCAACACATAGGATATGAATTGTTTATACATTCCTGTATAAAATTATTCCCAATATTGCACCAGCTTTTTTTTTTTAGTATCACCATTAAAGAAGAAAGAAGGACATGACCTTTTGTTTTGCCTCTTAGATATTACAGTCACCAGTCATTTTTGTTCTGATGGAAACTGTAAAGGTGGTCAAAACACTCTTTTCTAGAAGGAGAATATATAAAGCTAATGAAGAATCTTTTTACTTTGTTACATCTCAGTTCCTAAATTCCTGTCTCATTGCTTATCTCAAAAGAATAAAAACTGGATCTGGTCTAAAAAATTATGCCATCACTTATTTTGTCAAGCCCACTAGTGGTCTGTAAATCAAATCAAATCTCCCCTTTCAGATGAAAAATGTTTCAGTTGAAATACCAAGCAAGTAGTTTTTGAGAATTCTTATGTTCTAGGCCTAGGATTGCATCAATGAACAACATTAACAAAAGACTGTTTTTCTTCCAATGTTACTCCCTGCTATGGTTTGAATGTTTGTCCCCATCCAAAATGCATGCTGAAATTTACTTGCCATTGTAACAATATTGGTAGGCGGGGCCCAATGGAAGATGGTTAGGTCCTGAGAGCAGAGCCCTCATGTCATTATAAAAAGATAAAAAGAGCTTTAGGGAGTGGGCTCTCCAGTTTGTCCCTTTCACCCTCTGCCATGTGAGGATCCAGCCTTGCTCCCCTCCAGAGGATTCAGCATGCAAGGCACTATCTTGGAAGAAGAGAATGGCCTCACCAGACTCCAAACCTGGTGGCACCTTGACCTTAGACTTCCCAGCCTCTGATACTGTGAGCCAATACATTTCTCTTCATTATAAATTACCGATTCTGTGGTATTCTGTTATGTAGCATAAAATAGACTAAGACACTCTCTCATCATACTATGTCTACTACATCACATTTATTAGAGGGGCTAGCCAGGGTGGGGGATTGTGGGGGTGATAAAAATCATAATAAAAAATGATGTTGTGGCCAGAGGTGGGAATGTGGGGAGATTTGAAGATCAAGTCAGGCTGAGGAACTGAGACATCATTCAATATTTTTTCCTTTTATTTATTTCTATCTTACCTCTTAAAATATTTTAGTAGGAGTTTATTAAATTGTTAACATAGGTCTTTGAAAGTTTTTTGAGCAGTGAATAAAGTTTGGGGCTGGACTGTAAACAAATTTGTTGGGCAGAAATGTGAAGGTTAAATAGTAGGACGGAAACCTGGGAGGTAAGGGACCTGTTCGGGAGCAACTGAAGTAAAACAGACAAAAGAAAATAATGGATTGCATAAGCAAAGAGATTTGGGGAGTAAAGAGGAAGGAATGAATGTGACCAAACTTGATGAGGACCAAATGTCATAGATAAAGAAAAGGGTGGTCTCTGATATATTAAGGGTTTTGAGCCTATTACTAGGAGGCTATTAATAGCATGACTACAATTAAGGATACAAGAGGAGAACTAGGCTTGTATAGTTAATGAGTTCTTTTCTGGACATAATGTCTTTTGGAGTTCTAGTAAAGCATCCAGAATGTTTTGCTCTGGAGGGAGTGAGAAATTGAGACTAGAGCTCTAGAGAAAGCTTGGAGCTGGGCTACATATTCATGAATTAAACGTTACAGGTGATAATTGAGGCTATGAAATTGCCCAAAGGATATAATAGAGGAGGGGTAGGAGCAGGGGGAAATGGGGGAGCATTGAGTATAAGAACTGCTCCCAATTACACTACGTAACGTTTAGGTCTAAATGTCAGTTATTAGAAATATTTAAATTAATGATAAAACTTTAAAAAACAGTTGTTCAGAAGCAATTTCCATCTCAATGTGTTGTCTTTTTTATCCTAACATAGACAAAAAAATCTGTAGATTGAGCAGTTTATGATGTCATATAGAAGAAGTGTTTGGCAACACAAAAGTCCAGAAATCAAAGGGATTTAGAGTGGGATGCATTAAGTATATATAAAGTAAAAACTAGTGAATTACTTACTAAACCAGTAACTCTGAAAATTAGTAATGCAGTTTCTATTCATTAAAGTTATTTTTAAAACTGAAAGGCTTTTCAACAAGTTGTGTGTATGTTAAGAATGTATGTTTTTGAATTAAATAGTACAAGGACAAAAACTGGTGAAAAAGTATTCACTTAAATGAAACACATGCTTAACCATTTCTCACTGTTATTCTAAAAAAAATTGCATCTGGACTGAGAAGTTTTATTTTGCTTTGTGTCAGTGTGATGTGAATTAATAAAGTGGATAAATAATCCATTCTCGAAACTCAAATGTTACTGAACTAACAAAGATGTATAATGTTCATGTTTTAAGTAGTCCCAATATCATTTTTCAAATTGATCTACAGTAGAAAAATAAGGTGGCTATTTATTTATGAATTGCTTTTAATTTATAGTATCCTTTCTTCTTCATATTTTTCCTCCCACATCCCTCTCATCTGAAGAGCCTATGGATTTATCTTGTGTCTGTCATTTTTCTTCACATGATTTAAAAATAATTAATTGCAGCACTCAGTGATGATTTATGATTTCTACTGACATAATTAATGATACACATCAATTTTCCTTCTTAATTGAAGGAATCACTACAAACTTCTTATTAAATATGTTGAAAGGGCAGGCTGTTGTAGTTCAACAACCTTTGGAAACCTTAAGTGGAACTTTATAATTTAACAACTTTCAATGAAAGTAATGCTTCACGAGGAAAAATATAAGCAACATATTGAAAATGCTGGGAGAGATTTTATAGAGATTTGAACAACTGTCTTAAGTAGTTTAAGAGTCAAGCTACACTTGGCCAGAAACTAAGGATTAACTATTTACAGTGTCTGAAAATGAAACAGTTTACTCAGAATAATGTTAAATATTTTGATACTAATTAAGCTGAAATAAAGAATATGGTCAGATTAGCTGAAAAGTAAAGATATATTTAACTTAATGTATATAAATATAAAATATTGCATAAAATTTACATCAATGTCAATTTTGAATTTTTCAAACTTGAATATATTCCTGGTAATAATTTCAAAGATTTATGTTTTTTATTTTAATGTTTAAGATTGCTGAACTGCCAGATGACATGAATATATGTTTGAAAGATAATACTAAAGAACAAAGAAATCTATTTTATTCTATTTATTAAGCTGTGTAGAGTGAAAAAATGCTAACCCTTATCAAATATATCAATATTTATTTCTTGTCTATTTTATTGGAATTCAGTATTTATTTTGGCATTTAACAAAGTAATAAATATTTCTCTATATTCTGCTTAAGTAATGGAACAAATAGGACTCAATATATTACAAGGTTTAAATTATAATATTTTTAAAAAGCAACAGTGTGTGCCTCAAGTGTTGCAAACTTGATTTGAGCATTTTATGGTACTCCAGTCAGCTGCCTATTAAAAGTGTGATCAGGTAGTTTAGACTGTGACTAGCTGTGTCAACAGAAGGAAAGTGGAGGATTAGTCTCTATGGCAACGACAAAGTATCCCTGTTTGTAGACAGACAAATTCTGCTACATCTGAAACTGATTGACAGGTCTATTCCTTTGCAACTGACCCATAGAAATTAGCAAGTAAAAGTTATTATACTGGGTTGTATTGAAGGGTTCTCAATATCTTAAAGTGCTCTTGTAAGTTTTTCTGCAGCATTTGCATGAGAAACCTGGCAGGAATTGTTCTGAGGTTTATATCTATGGTTTGATAGATTCTTTGTGGGGGAGTATTGCTGGTGAGAATAACTTAATTTTCAGTTCTCTGTATGACAGAATTGTTGGAGCATGGATTGAGGGGAAAACACACATCAAAGACCCAAAGCTGAATAATATGCCACATTTCAAAATCACAAGACCTTGTAAGAATATTATATTTTGAAACTGCTTTCAAGAAAAAATTTACCCAAATTAAATAGGAATAATTGTTGTAGGAATAACTTGACATGTTTTAAGATTATTACAAGAAAGATCGAGTTCAATTTTTAAAAACAATCCTTTAACTTTACTGTTTAATTTAAAACAGCAAGCATCATATTTATTATTGCAAAAATATTTTTTCTTTAGATATAAATTTTCTAATAAAGTAAAACACTTGTCATAAAACAAAGTATTTGCCTTTATGATAATTTTAGAACTATATTTTAGCTCATGTGCTTTAGTTTGAAGAGAAAAAATTAATTTGTTTACTGAAACTTGATTTTCTCAAATTTTGATCATTCTAAATATGTAATAATATTTTAAATATATTCTTTAACCCACTGAAATTGGGTAATATTACATCTGATATGTGCAATTTTATATATTTATAATTGGATATATTAATTACAACTGCATAAATTAAAATGGAAATACAATCAGCAAATGTAGGGTCAAATAACTGTGCTGAATTTAAATTTTTTATTTAAATGTGTTTTTCTTGAGGTAAAAGTACTAAGCATCTAGGACTCTAATTTATATTATTTTTTTCTTGATTTGTTGGCCTGAGAGCACGTTTTCTTTGCTTCATATTTGCTTCGTTTGATTACAGAGCAAAATCAAAAGCTAATACAAAACAAAACAAAACAAAAATCTATTGGGGAAAGTGAAGCCAGATCAAATAGGGACTTGTAACTCAGAGAGCTGTTTTTGGCTGCTAAAGTTTGAGGTAAATTTGGCTAAATTTAAATACACTTATATTGATAACTTTTTCTATTGATTACACATCAAAAAGGAAAACTAGAAAGAACATTTCTTATGTTTAAAGAATTCTTCTAGATAATATGTAATTTCTTTTAAAGAGGAAGCATAAATAAGCCCTCAGCTTTAGTGCTCTGGATTCCATCATAGCATCTGAGAGCAAAGTCTAACTGAATGGATGAACTGGCTTTCCTTTATTCAGAATATCTCACCACACCTAGATTTATCAATATCGTTGGACTATTTGACCTTTTCCATTTGTTACTGTAAAGGAGCAATTATACAGTATGCGATTTCTTTGGGAATTATTATCTTTTATATTTCAAATACAAATGAACACATTGTAGGACCTTTTCTTTAGTTTCAAAATAAGAATTATCTGTAGATCTGTTATGGGGAAAAAATTGAACATTTCAATAAAATTCCTTAGTTTTGAGTGCAAATTACAGCTTTAAAGAAAAGAGTCTGGCAAGGGTAGTGGGGGCTTGGAGGGGAGGTGAGGATGCTTAGTGGGTATAAAAAAATTAGAAAGAATGAATAAGACTAATATTTGATAGCACAATAGCGACACTATTGTCAATAATAACTTAATTGGGTATTTTAAAATAACTTAAAGAGTTTAATTGGATTGTTTGAAGGTCAAAGGATAAATGCTTGAGGGGATGGATACGCCATTCTCCATGATGTGCCTGCCTATTTCACATTGCATGCCTGTATCAAAACATCTTATGTACCTCATAAATATATGCACCTACTATGTACTCATAAACATTTTAAAAAACAATAATAAAATTTTAAAAAGTTCTCATTAACAAAATATTAATCACAATTTTAAAAAGAAAAAGAAAATGCCAATTTCTTTCCGAGTTTTTCAGATACTGATTTTTTTTCTAGAAAATGAAATGACTTGGCGCTGTTTATTAGTGCTAGCTCTGGGTTCCTAAAGAGATCTTTGCATATTATACTAAGGATATGATTAAACTGGAGACTCTGATTTTAGAGCTGTTGACAGCTGAGCCAGTATTGCCTTTCACCAGCTAATTATTATTTTCAGGGGGAGTCACTATTAGAAGAAAAATTCATGTTTCTGTTCTTACCTTCTTTTCAATAAGCACTAAGAAGGTTCATTTTCAGAGACATCCTTGCTACGCTGAGACTTGTTTAAAAGTGAAGCAAAGAACAGTTGCAAAAAGAATATTCAAATATGAAGATTCTTGATGAAACTTGAGTCATAAAAACTTGAGCCTCAAAACAATGTTTTAAGAATGATGATCTCAATCTCGATGTAAAACTTTTGCTATTTGAATTAGAAAAATATAATTTGTGCTGTAGCTCATTATAGTACTTATAAAACTATAGATTAACTAAATTTTTCCACATAAATCACATTGCTGACAAATTGTTTGTATATACTTTTGCTATCTGAGATTAATTAAGCATATTGTTTTCCAAAGTTCTTCAAGTTTGCATGCCACACTGTATTTTTGGTAAAATCATATAAGGTAATCCTTCAAGTGAGAACTCCTAATTTTTGGTCATTTCATAAGTTTTCTAGTTTATGTATCAATTTGGTATAGACTGTACAAGAGTATATATTTGAGATACTTGAGACATTCAACTTATTCCTATTTTAATTCATCTATACCCTGGCATTTCTGTAATATATCTTAAACAAAAATAGAATTTAAAAAACTAGAAGTCACTTCTGTTAAGAATTGGAGCACAAGAAGAAAGTCAATTAAATCATTTTTTTAAAAAAGTTAATGCCAAGTTACTTTTCTCTGAAAATATGTCTTCAATATTGTAGAGTTGAATTTGATTTAAAAATCATGCAGTTATTCTAATGAAGGTTTGATGTGGGTTTAATTTAATGACATCATTAAACTATATAGAATGTGTAGCTTTCATTACTGTCAGTTATTTTTTATTTAATTCAAATAAAAGCAACTTTGATTTCAAATTCCATATCATTATTCCTTTTTTAAGTCTTGTGAAAATTACAAATGACACATTCTTAATGAAAGTTTTGCTGAGCATCTACATTATAACCTTTACAAAGGATGATGTAAAAAATAAAAAGGCTTGGAATCTGATAAGACAAGGTGGACTTTTACATTCAAACGGTTCGGATTCTAATTCTGTTAGAGTGAATTGAGTTGACTCATAATTCTGCTTATGGATTGCAGACTTGTGCTTATGAGAGGCTTACTGTCAGATTGGGTTGCATCTGGCTGCCTTTTCAAGTTTCCTGAAAACAGCAGTATGAGCTTGTGATGTTCATTCTGTACCACCAGAGTGCGTGGGGTGGTCGTATGCTCAATCCATAACTGCTTCTTGAAGCACAGGGTAGAACACTTTTCCCCTTTTAATATTATAAAGACTAAAGTGCTTTTTAAGAAAGAAGATCTAAAATTTGAAACAAGACATGTAAGTAAAAGCTGTCCAAGGCAACTTTAAATTATGTGATTCACACTTACGCCAGATGCTGCTAGAGAAATTCCTTGGTTTCTCATTAACATGGAGCAGTCCCCTTAGACTTCACACATAGTGGCCACTCACAAGCACATACACATTCATGCAAATGTTAGGAACGATCAACTGCATGCTTCCAACTGTACAAGTTCCAACAGAAGAGATTTGAGAAAATTCATTTTAAGGAGATGAGCTGCCATTAAAAATTTGTCATTACTTTCCTCAATCTACTTGGCTAAAGCCTCAATATACTTGGAATGAATATCCTTAATGAACTTGGCTAATTGTTTTGTGATGTCATTTCTGAGTTTACTCAAAATCCATTTAGAAAAGCATTGCTTAGACATAGGTAAAATTCAGAATTTTCTTCCCAGGTGAAACTATAATGATAAAATGTTAATTTCTGTTTATAACTACTTTAGTACAGGGAATATTTAGATTTATAGAACCATGGCTTCAATCTTCACATGAAAATTTATATTCACATTTTAAACTTATATTTTATTTTTATTTTTCAATCATAAATAAATTATTCTCTGTTCCTTAGTTTATAGATTGATCTTCAGTTTTCCTTTTATTCGCTTGTCTATTCGCATGGTCATTTACTGGGTTTATACGTGGTCATTTTTTGAGTCCTATGAGTAGGCAGTTTTGATAGGACCTAACTCTTCAATTGCAGTTTAAAGTTAGGTCACATTTGGCTGGCTAGTGTTAAGTCCAGGATGTTTCTGTCCAGAAAGTATAGAGAGCTCTTTTTCTTTCTCTTTAGTAAACAAAAATCATAAAACAAACTGGACACTGAATTAGGTATGTCATAAATATGCATATTTCTATACTAAAAATGTTCTTTCTTTCTTCCATTTAACCAAAATCGATAATGTAAGGCAGCTCAAATCTTTATATTAGTTTGAATTTCTATCTTGTATCTATTTACCTATCTGTAATGTGTGTGTTTATAACCCACTTGCTTTTTTTCCTCCTTGGCTCTAAGGAGAAAACACTTTTGTATCAGTTAATAGGTGAAATAAAATCTACTTTTTTATAGTAAATATGCTGAACGCATAGCTTTTTGTGAGTGAAAGTTTAACATTCCATAATGTAGGAGAGACTGTGCTCTATGTTAAAGTTATTTTGCTTTGAAAGAGAATGTAATCACTGTGAGGGTAAGGATATCATGCAATTTCTTTTGTTATAGTCCTTGTATAGTCACAACTCTACTTATAACGGGTATTGAACCTTTGACAGAAATGCAAAATATATTCTGCCTTGCAACGCATACAATTTATAAAAACTCAAGCAGGATAATAAGTTATCCGAAGGAACTTTTGGAAAGGGAAATTTTAAAATTACAAAATTTAAAGTTGAAAGGTGTATTTGTATCTGGCATAATTCCCAAGTTGAAGTTCTTCTTTTCAAGCAATATTTACAAAAATATAATATTTTAAATCATCATCATCATCATTATCATCATCTCATCATCATCATCATCATCAATCTAAGAAATACCCAAATATACACATCACTGTGTAAGGGATAAATGGTTCCTCTTGAAGCTTTTTTTTTTCTTTTTTCACCTGAAGAAATGATATTGAAATGGATAAGACTTATGAAAGAACATACTGATGGACATAATGAAAGATGCTTCACAAAAACATGTCTCACATATATATTTGCATTAAAGTCAAGTGGGTTATGTTGGTAAAAGAATAGTATCGACTGTTAATATATTAGGCTTTAGGAAAATTTGGATTAATACCTCTTAAATAGTCAAGATTTCTGGAGGAGCAGTGTTTCAGGAAAAAAGGAAGGATTTCTAGATACAGGGAAAAAAACAGATTTCTAGATATTAGGGAGTTGAGAAATAGAATATAATGAAACTTTGCCTAAATAAATTCTTTCTTAGTAATTCAATTGTAAGAAAGATGAATTGCAGTTAATTTAGTATATAAAAAAATTTGAATGCATATATTATTTTCTTAGAATTACAATCACAGGAAGGACAATCTATCAAAAGATATTTTTTAAAAATCATAAATTTACAAAAAGATTCCATGACTTCAGCAAAATCTTTGGGAAATGCTCACTTTTCTCTCATGTCAATGAATCAATTGTTGAATTGCTGAATCAAGAGACACATCTCTATACTTAAAACATTTCAAATGGAAAGAATAGTACTGAAGTTTAACTTAAAGAAATCATCCTGTACTAAGCAAATAATTCTTCCTGATATCTTCCTAACATCGTTCAAATGTACTTTTGTAAATTATACTCTTCCTGGAACTATTAAAATAATCTACTAATTCTGATTCTAGTTACAGCTGTCACTTAATCTATTCCTGATAAATTGTCACACTTGTAACTTTGTTCTTTTTCTCAGTTTAAAATTGCACAATGTTAGTGAAATGTTTAGACAAGTAACCTTATGAAGGAAGAAGTGTAGGTTAAAATAAATGTAACATTATATAATTGTGTGTTGTCTCTGCAAATAGTTTAAAAATAAAAGAGAATAAAATTACTCATTTGACATTTCAAAGCATTGAAATAAGCCTTGATCATACCTATAGTTATCACGAACTCCCACGATCTACCTAGGAAAAAAATCTTTACCTAATAGTTGGAAATCATCATTAATAGTTAAACAGCTTTAGTTGCTTTTTTTTTGAAGCACTTTTTTCTCTCTTACATTTTTCTTTTCTGTTGAAACATAATTTTATGATTCTCATAATTAGTACACAGATCTACCAAGTTTAGAATATATGTTACATAAGATATGCTAAAACTGGGAAAACTGTTATGTATACAAATGCTATAAATATTTGCATACATGGAAAAGCCTTTATTTTCCCAAATATTTAAAACATTTGGATAACTGGCACATATGAATTAAAAAATTAGAATTTGGATCTAAATTTTTTAGTCTTCATACAGTTGATTTTCCTCCAATGTACATAGATCATATTTGGTTTTTCTTTGGCTGTCCTTTTGATTATAGTAGCACTGTATTATATATAATATTAATGTTTCATATATACCTAAAATATTCTGGGTCCTCTTCCTTCTGAACTGCAACAAGCAACTCAGAGATTTCTGAATATAATGTATAATGTGGCTTAAAAGCCTTAACACCTCCCTCTTCTTTGAGGTGGGTATTTATTAATGCGGTTTCACCTAGTGACAGTTGCATATCTATAGTGTCTGCATACCAGCATCAGCACTCCGCAGCTGTACCATGTGTGGTTTGCATTCAGAGAGAATTGGCCTCTGAGTGTCAGAGGGAATGTATTGAAAAGTGCCCTCCATATCCTTGTTGGTAGTGATAATAAATGAGGACCATAATTAAATGCAGTCAAAGAGTTAAAACTAGAAATCAAATACGTTTTAGTTTTCCTGTGATACAATACAATCACTATTACTGCTTAAAAATAATAATTTAAATTGTTTCCTCATTTGATTTATTATTCTCTATATAGAGGGATTCCTTTGTATATTTTTGAAAATCTGAAGAGAAAGTTGGAATAGAAACATCTGGATCACACCACAGAATTTTAGAAACTATAAGTGGATTATGTCAGAGAGTCTCAGGACAGAATAGTTAGCAAAGTCAGCATGTTTCATCCTACTGTTACTCCTGGTCAAAGGGATAAGCTGTAGGAGAGTCACAAATTTGATAGGTAAAAACACCCATTCAGAAATCATCCCTCTGGTGCTACTTCCTGGGTTCTTCATACTTTCACAGAGCAGCACTTCTTCATTTGAAATATAGTATAACACAAACATCTCATTAGGTCCCATTATTCCTGATGTATTTAGTTCTTCTGCATCATCAAATTGAGCTGGTTGTCATTTTCAATGTGTGAAAGTTAAACTGCCTCAGTAGAAAAGACACACACCCTGAAGTGGGTAGCAGGAAAGACTAAAAAAAAATACAGCCACATATTTTTCAGAAAACAAAATCATTCTGGAATGAGATATGAGTAATAATGACATGGAATAATGGTACTTTAGGAGTAAAATATGAATTGAGCCTAGTCAGGTAACAGAGGCGTTTAGCAAGCTTATTTGGAAGTTCAATATGACATTGCTGGTTGAGGATGATTTTTTTTTCTGAGGTTGATCTTGTTTATAGATCCATATTTTGATGAGATATGTTAGAAATACTGAATATTTTTATTTTGATGTATTTAAACAGTAGTAAAAGTTATTGATTTGTGGGTAATTTTACTAATGGAAGATTTCATAAATTAATGTAATATGCCCAACACTAGGAGACATTATTATAATTTAAGAATGCAGTACCATTTATTTTAATATTTCACTTCTGAAAATGAATGTTTTGTTATACTTTTCTAAAATTCTTTGGAGAAAAAGGTAATTTTTTTTGGCTTACAGTTTCATAGAGTATAATTTTTAAATTAAGTGTTTCTGTTTTGTTTTATCTGGTTACATACGTGATGATTTGTATAATCTCCCTCAATCTTACATTCTTACAATAATCGTGCAAAAATCCAAATTGGGTTAAAGACAGAAATTCCAAATTTTCTAATATGCTCACACTTGGTGCCATCCTGACATTAAAATATCTGACCAAAATTCCCATTCACTATACAATAAATTCATTCTCCCTCAAAGTATATTCTGAATGTAAAAATGAAAATAGACGTTTATATGCAGTCTGAGCTAGAAAAAGGTGCTGATACTGTAATTAATATTGTACCGTAATATCTTTTTAATCTATCATGCTGCCTTTTGCCCTTTATGTTATGTCAGAAAGGAGTGTAATGAATGAGTGTGTCTGTGAGTATCAGCTTGAATTTGGTGAAAACCGCAGCAACATGACATTTCATGTGATTAAGCCAGATATAGATTCAAGTGTATTAGCTTTCACACAATCGAATGTAAAACCAATGATGATAAAACTTCAAATATTTTTTAAATGATGATTTCCCGAATTTATTTTAAAGCTCAATTTGCATAAAGCCATTTTATTATATTTAAGAAATAACAGGATTCCCTGACTTTGTAATGTTTCCTAGAAAGGTAACTCACAACAGTAAAACATCAGAATATTCAGCATTTTAGGTGAAGAATGAAAGATTTATTACTAAGTCAGAAAAGAATTGGCGTAAATCTGACTTGAAACAGCTGTTTAGGGGATTAGTGGGAGTGTCTTTTCAAGTCCTGAGAAGAATAATTTTTCTTCCTTTTTTATACCAGAAGGGGGCAGTAGTGGTCCATTTTTAATAACAGCTAGCGTTTCTTTTGTTATATGACATTTGATAATAAATAAATATCACTTTCTATTTAATGTTGAGGCATTTGTACAAAAAATTAAGATTGTAAGTATCTATTGTTAGGTTAAAAGTTAAATAATTAAAAGTTTTTATGCAAATATAATCTTATGTCTCTTTTCATCTAAGCATGTAGCTCAAAATTAAGATGTCCTGCTGTAGCTAAACTAGAGCACCAGTTCTTATTGCTTAATGTTCATGCTAATAATGATAGTTATAGAATAGATTAATTCTATAACACACACACACACACACACAATTTCAGTGAACTATAGTTTAGTCTCTCACCACTCACCAAGCTGGAGTCAGCACCCACAATAAAAGTGCTTTACAATTTATATAGCTTGTCATATTAGTATTTATTTCCAATATTAATTGTGGCTTAAAATAAATTAATATAATACATTATCTCGTAATTTCCAGGTTGATTAAACGAGTGGTGCATATGCACACTTAATGGGATGGTTGCATTTTACATCTCTCCAGATCTCCATTAAAAGATAAGCTGCAAATACAGTGGTTATTCTGCTCATTGGCTGACATCTCTCTATGTCCAGATCATCTGCTTAGAACAAATGTGGCCGGACAATGCGGTATTCTAATTCCACAAATTGAGTAATTGAAGAATTTCAGAGATGCAACAAGGATGGAATTACTGTCCTCGTTCTAGGTTTAGAAGGCAGGCATGCAAGTACCTAGAGAAAGAGAACAGATGAAAGCTGGCAGCCTCTTCATTTACAGACAGCACAATTTTCTGAATTTAGCAAGACTCTTCTTTTCCCCCAGAACGCTCTATGTAAGTGTTAAGATGTTGAGACATGCATTATGTTTTACATTTTCGTTAAGTTTTGCAGAAAATCATATGGCTAAGTAGTACTTGTATTATAATGGAAAAAGGTGTGAGGAAAAACCCTCCAAAAATGAAATCCACTTGTCAGTTTGAATTTGACATGTTTTATTACATAGTAAAACCTGTCAGCTAAAATTTTAGAGATTTACACCTAAGTTGTGACTGAAAACAGGTAAATGTCCTTTCAAAACAGGTATTTTGAATACATAAATGAAAATTTTGGTAGTTGTGCGCATGTAGAGTTATCTATTTTGCTTGCAAAGTGAATTTAAAATTTTTAAGAAGTGTTTCTGGTATTTTAAAATAGCTAAGAATAACTTATGAGAATGAGAACTTAGGAAACCTGCTTTTTAACAAAAGTCTACAGGATTATATTTGAATTTTGCACAGACAGTCAACTCACAATGTCATTAGTACATATTAAAGAGCACACCTTTCCTAGATTTCATAATGCAATTTAAAATACTTATTTGATGATGAAAAAATTTTAAGAATATATTTATATTTGATTGATATTAATGATAAATAAAACATTATCCCCAACAGTTAAAATGTTGTATAGATATTAAAAGTAATTAATTCAACACGGAATTTTTTTCCATTAGAAGATTCAGTTTTTCCTTTAAAGCTGAAGGTATTGTGCTGAGATTCTGAAACTCTGCAGCTCAGTCTGGAATTATTTTTTTCTAGAAAAAATGTGGTGAGCAGAGGATTTTCTTGCTATATTAGGACCTCCCAAGTTTCTTTCGGATCTGTAATTTTAAAAGGTTGTCATTACTTTGCTTTCTCTTGCATCCTCAATGTGTGTGTGTGTGTGTGTATGAGAGAGAGAGACAGAAAGAGTGAGAGATGGGGAGGGGGAAGAGGGGAAAGAAGGACAAAAAAGGAAGGAAAAAAGGAAGAAAAGAAGCATAAAATAGGAAAGAAAGAAGGATAAGAGGAAGGAAAGAAAAAAGTGGGAATGTCAGAAGGAAGAAGAGAATAAAAGAGGAGAAAAATAATGTCTTGGAGAGGTCTATACACTTTGACGGATTGACATTGCTAGTTTTTTGGTTCTAGCTTAGGAACAGTGTGATCCTGGCAGCAGCTTTAAGATAGCACATCTCAACTTTCAGAACAACATGATTTAAAGAAACTGTGTGACTCAGAGGATAGTTTTGGCATTGAGTTTGTGAGAAAAGGAGACTTTGCTTTTGTATTGCTCTTCAAATATAAGAGAAAATTCTGTTTCTGCCAACATAGATAAAAAAGCTATCCAATTATTACAACGCCAGCTTTCTCTTTACAAATATCAAGTGTAATTAAAGCAAAGAGCTAAATATTATAGAGAAAATAAGATGGAAAATGTTGGCTGTTGGAAATTGGCTTGGTATGGGCTTTGTGGATGGATGGCATTTACTAAATTGTACCAACCCTGCTTTACGTTTTTAGACAGCATTAAAGGATGAATTGTTGATTTGCCTGTTCTTTAACATGTATCACCTGCTCGAATATTTTTCCCACCTGATAATTTTTCATCAGCCTCTTCTACAGCCAGGCGTATTTTGGCTGTGAATAGTTATAGACAAAAAGTTTTCTGTCTTATGTTATACATGTGTGTGCCTCTGTCTGTGTGTGTATGTGTGTAACCATTATTTCTTATAGGCCTATTCTATACTTTTCTGACCTTTACCTAAAGGACTGTGGCTAATCTGTGTGTGTGTGTGTGTTTTACTGGCATTTTGCTATTACTTAAATTTCTCTGTTTTCCTTTAATGCCTACCTAAATATTTTCTCATCTTACCCTTAAGCAAAATGTCAAATTCTTGGCAGACAAAACATTGCATTTTCTTGAATAAAAGGAAGGCAATATCCATTTCAGCACTTTGTCTATCTATTTAACTAGCACTGTGCATCTTTTAGGCCCTCTGTAAATACTGAGCATCCACCTGAAATATTACGTTAGCCAACAACAGCAGAGACTGTGTGTCTCTGTGTGTGTGTGTGTGTGTGTGTGTATGCTGATTAGCAGTTGTGATTATGTTTTCTTTTCTTACCATCTTCTAGATGGTGCCTCTACTTTTTTATACTTCTAAGTACCTAATAAGAAAGTGGAATTAGAGAGGAATTTGAAGATGCTACACTGTTGGCTTGAGGATGGAGGAAAGGACCCCCAGCCAGGGGATGAGGAGGCCTCTAGAAGCTGGACAAGGCCAAGAAACAGATTATTCTCAGAGTCTCCTGAGGGAATGCAACCCTGTGGACCCATTTTAGATTCTGAGCTCCAGAACGGTCATATGTTTGTGTTGCTTTAAGCCATCAGGTTTGCTGTAATTTGTTAGAACAGTGATAGGAAACACAGCCCTCTCTGACCTCTGCTTCTGTGCTTACATCTCTCTCTGACTCTGGCACTCCTGCCTCCCTCTTACAAGGATCTTCAGGACTACATGGCTCCCCCGAATCTCAGGTCATCCAGGATCATTCTCTATCTCAAGATCCTTAACTCAATCCCATCTGCAAAGTCCCTTTTGCCATATAAGGTACTATGTTCACAGGTTCCAGGGACTAGGACATGAGTGTTTTGGGGGACATTGGTCTGCCTACCACAGACACCTCCCAGGTTGTAAAACACATCAGCAGCAGATTCTCAAGCTTGGCTCTAGGAGCAGCACTAGAGCAACAGGAGGTCGCCACTAGTCTGAGGGACCCCAGGCCTACCCGCGGCTGCTGCAGAGCTCTGTACCTCAGCAGGTGTCCATGCTTGGAGGGGAGTTTGGCCACCTGCTCTATGAGACACAGTGCTCCAGATCACTGTGTAGGCTTCTCAGTTGTCTGCAAGAACCAACTAATGGATAGAGTTTTCTCCGGACAAAGTTTTAAATTTCATATTTCCTGAAATCTTTGAGGCTTGTTTTGCTGCTACTTCTTTTTGGCGAATGACAAAAAGAATGGTTTGTACTTAATAAACAGGAACTGAAGAAATTAAAAAAGAGCTGTGGTATGTGTGACATGATCCCTGTTCTTGCAAGGCATTTATATATCTAGCAATATCCTGAGTTATTCGGGCTTGGGGAGATGCTTGGAGTGCTGTACAGTGAATGTCAATGATATCTGGTGATGGAATCATTTGAGGCTTTCTTCTTTGTATTTTTCTTTTTGAGTATAGTTTAGAAAAAGCATGTATCTTTTGTAGAAACAATAAAATTATTATTTAAAAAATGGAATTATGCAATCACTGAAAATTGTGTCAAACTACATATATGTACTGAAATGAAAACTGTCTAAGTTACATAGATTGAATTAAAAAGAAAAAATGTCATGGACAGTATATGCAGTACAGTAGTCCCCCCTTATCCAAGGAGGATACATTCCAAGACCCCCTGTGGGTACCTAAAACTGTGGATAGTACCAACCCTATATATATTATGTTTTATGATCTGATAGATAACTGAGACCATCACATATATAGTCTATCAATGACCAAAATATTGTTATGGGGTGCATGACTCTACTTCCTCTTCCTCCATTTCTTATTACTCTGTGGTCATAAAATCAGATAAATCATGAATGATTCAACTAGATGTTATTTTACATCTATAGGAATTATATTGTTTTATCAGACAAAAAGGAATTGAGAATAAAATAGTAATAATAATTTATTAGAAAAACATGCTATTTTTACAGTTTTTAAAGTAAATATAATAATAATTAAATATGAACTTAATTTTTCAAGGTAATTTTATATAAATTTACATAACTAGAATTAAATATTTGCCTGTGTCTGAATATTAATACATAAGTCATAATATTCCTACAGTAGATGCTTAAGACATTATTTCCATTAAATGGGAATAAAAAGATGAATATGATTATTTTTAAAATGTATTAATACTAGGATGAAACCAAGTAATAACAACATATAATTATATTGATAGGGCTTACAGAGGTAGCAATAGATAGTTTATTTACAATTTTGTGCATAAGAACAAAATGAGGTTTTGGAAAATTGTCTTGGCCAACAATTTTTTGTTCACATGCTTTAAAATTTATTGTGTAAAACTAGCCATATTTGATTTCTCAAAAGTGTCTTTAAAATGTATTTATGCTAAATGCTTCTATTATTGAGTCTTCTTCTATTTGCCCTCATAACCTCCCATTCCCACTCAAAAAGCATCCACAAAATAAACCCCCAAAATTGCTGAGAGGCAGTATCCCTTGTCTGGACTCATTTTCACTTAGGAAATGGTAACCAACTCATTGTTTTCTGTTTCAGAATTTCTTACAAAGATACATTCATTGTGTAAATTGTTGCTTCATGATTTTTGAACCTGAGACAAAAAGCAACTTTCAATTCTTGATTATAGCTTCTCAAAATATACAGTGTAATTAAGTGTTGAAAGAGCAATTATATTGTAAGTCCTTGTTTCACACCCAAACTTTCTCTTGCTTTTAACTTTTGGAATTTTAGTCGCATTTTCAGAACAAAGGTGAACATTTTGGGAAACAGTGATAAATAAAGGGCAGATGTGTTACAATCATTTTAATGCATATGAGACTGTTTCAGTCACATTATATTTGCTTTCCACATCAAAAAAAAGTCTCAGTCTCACTCCTAACGTCTCAAGCATTCTCTGTTTATCTAAAAAGTTTCCCTTCGCCCAAACCTTCCCCCATACCCCCTGTATCAGTGTATACAGGTTATTTCCTTATATGCACTGTCATACATTATTTGACTGCCTACTTAGTCTACGTTCGTCCCCTTGGAGAATTAGCTCTGTTCCGACACACAATAGACATTCAAAATATATGCGTTGAATGACTAAATGAGTGAATAAATTAATTACTCTATTTCAGACTTAAAAAAATTAGGGTAGACACAAAACAAATTAGAGCATTTGACAATGGTTTTCAAATAAAAAATGTATCAACCACAGACAGGCCAAATATTTTTCTCAATTTCTTTTGTTTCAAAAATATTTGGGGCAAAGGTTATTTTGAAATACCCTAAAAATTAAAGCATATTTTTCAGACTCCACCTTAGATTTCAAATGTGGCAAATTACTTTCTAGTTGCTTTTTCCCGTGTTAAATGACATGTATTTCTGTCTAATTATGGTCAGTTGTTGTGGTGGTTCTGAGGAAATAATTTGAACTGAAGCCACAGTTCAAACTGGATATTTGTTGTAAACATATTTTAACAAAATATTTGCCCTGACCAGTCACCCCTTGATAATTAAGTTCCTTCAGGGCTGGGACTTGGTCTGTTTTATTCATTGCTGTGTTTCAACTCCTACAACAGATCACATGGTAAGTTCTCAAAAACTGAATTAATACTTAATGATTAGATTAATACTTACAATGGAATGAGTGCTTACTGACTGAATTCATAGACAGCAGTTCCATGGGTGCCAGTGGAACAGTAATCAGGACAAGAATGCCAGAACTGGGCAATATACTGAGATAGTTTTAAGAGAACAGACTCTAGACAGGCAATAGAAGAGTGGAAGTGTATATAATTGCCAAGATCAGGAAGAACTGGGAGAGCAGAAACCTAGGTTGATAAGTAAGAAGTCAAAGTTTGACAGTTGTGGTCTGGATAGGTAAATGTCTGAATTCCAGGAGATAGAGAGGTCTGGTTTGGAACAAGCAACTAGAAGAAAATAATATAAACTTGACTGAAATACTCTGTTTTAGTGAACAGCCTTACACCTGTTATATGCCAAGGGCATGGACAATTAAGTTGACAGATGTCTGTGGATAAAATAAGGGATCTGGTCAAGAACAAGTAAAAAAGCAATTCTTGTAGGTGGGTTTCAGCACAGTGACTGTATTTATGTAAAGATGACTCAATGATTGGCGGAAGCATATCGTGAAAGATAGAAATTATCGGGTTGTTTCTGACACTGATACACTTATACTAATGCTGCTTATGCTTTCTTGCATTCCCTGGTAGTCCCTTACAGTGAATAGTTGTAAACATAATCATAAAATCACTCAGAGGCCGGGCATGGTGGCTCACACCTGTAATCCCAGCACTTTGGGAGGCCGGGTAGCTCAAAAGGTCAGGAGATCAAGACCATCCTGGCTAACATGGTGAAACCCTGTCTCTACTAAAAATACAAAAAATTAGCTGGGCGTGGTGGCATGTGCTTGTAATCCCAGCTACTTGAGAGGCTGAGGCAGGAGAATGGCATGAACCCGGGAGGCGGAGCTTACAGTGAGCAGAGATCGTGCCACTGCACTCCAGCCTGGGTGACAGAGCAAGACTCCCTCTCAAAACAAAAAAAAAAAATCAGAATTGTTAAAAGACTCTCAGGTCAATAAAAGTGCATGTTAGAATGCCTAAGTACTTTTCTTATCTTTTTGCGCTCACTGGGAGAGGAGAGAGGGATAGGAAAGATGGCTTGTGCTGTGAGAAAAGTGGAGATCATAGAGAAGAGGGACTGATGGTTGCCCAGCTGAGGTGGACAGACTCAGCATCAAAAGAATGGTAGTTCTGTTAGAGTAGGTAGTTAGGCAGACATGAGCAGTGCAGGAGAGGCCACTCCTTCCCAACCAGGAATGTCAGGTAATCATCAGATGATGGTTAGGTGGTTGTTATACTATCTAAAATAATAACTGGTTGCAGTCAGCGCCAGGGAAAGTCCATCTCCCGATAGAAAACACCTGAAACTTGTAATCAGCACTTCCCAATAAGATCTCAGAAGCTGGGCGAGTTGGCTCAAGCACGTGGAGTAAGAGGCAAAATGGCACAGTTTAACAGGTATATGACCTTCCTCTAGGAACACTCGACTGGTAAGGGTAAAACGCCGCAAGTGAGAATGCATACAACTTCAGAAAACACACTGTGCATGTAGCCCCTCCCAAGTGTTGGCAGGTCACTGCACATGCAGACAGCCCATCCCAGGGGAGAATCGGGGGAGAAAAAACAAAATACCCGGAAGCATGCCAATGTATAAAACCCCATGTCAAAGGTCAAACCATGCACTTGGATCTGTCAAGTCACTCATTTCGCCCTCTTCCAAGTATATTTTGCTTTCTTTAGTTCCTGCTCTAAAATCGTTAATAAACTTTTACTCCTGCTCTAAAACTTTCTTCTGTCTCCCGCTCTGCCTTATGCCCCCTTGGTCGAATTCTTTCTTATGAGGAGGCAAGAATTGAGGTTGGTGCAGATCCGTATGAATTTGCCACTGCTAACACTTCCCTGCTCAAATCCCCTCTGCCCACCCAAGAAATCACCTGCAGACAGGTTCTATCCATCTCCAAGGCTTCCAGAATCTTTCTACCTGAAGACACTTTCTTGCCTAAGGAGTATGCTTAGCTTGGGCATTGAGCAGGTGGAAAATGCCAAGGAGTTCAGAATGAAGAGTGGGAGATGATGGATAAACACCATGTTCTCCCTTCAGTGGGATAGATCCATGCCATGCCCCAGATTGTCACTCAGAAGGTACACTGCAGGATGGCGCCCCAGGTTCCCATGAGGACCACATCAACACACTCTTTATTGTCTTCTCTTCCTAGTCTCAGTCCCTCATTCTCTCATTGTGTTTCCTGGGATTATATCCCAAACAAACTACTTGTATTCTAACTCTCATCCTAAACTCTGCCTTGGGGGAAACTAAAACTTAATAGTAACTAGTTAAGGGTAAATGAAAACAATGTTGAATTGTCTTCTAAACCCCATGCATATTCATAATATTTTCATAAGCTTCTTCTTTCATTGATGATGCACTATATCTGACTACCCTTCCAAATGTTGATACTGTGTGTAAGAGATTACCCATTATAATCATGGTTACTGAAGAGTTTTCAATCCATAAATTTTATGTATGCCCAAGTTAGAATGTTCAGTATTAAGGAATTGTGAATTAAATCAGGTTCAATTTAAACATGCAGAATTTAATTAATCTTTATATGTATTTCTAGATAATAAATTGCTTGTAGGAGGCTAACATTTGCTTAAATTTTGTATAATGCTGACTTAATATATAAATATGTAACAATTTGTGACTTTACAAATTCTAGCCATTCCGTACTCATGCTTTAAAAATGGTTCCAAAGTCGACATTCACCTAAGTAGATTGTGAAAGTAGATAAGATGAATT
This sequence comes from Homo sapiens, assembly GCF_000001405.40. Classification (NCBI taxonomy): domain Eukaryota; kingdom Metazoa; phylum Chordata; class Mammalia; order Primates; family Hominidae; genus Homo; species Homo sapiens. The sequence continues at coordinate 91,650,953 of NC_000005.10, forward strand.
GGAGAAACACCCCGAAATGTCAAAAAGCATCTCCAAAATGTAACTAATAAATTTTTCATTTTTAATTTTTTCTATAATTTAAAAATAATTTCCCCTAAAATTAATACTATACAGATTTCTTACTTTGTATCCCTTTTAAAATATAACAATTTTGCAATCAGTCAATAATAAGGACAAAAGATTTAATTTGTGAAATGGGCAAACTGGAAGTCGTAATAAAAGCGAACAGTTTTCTTTTCCCCCAAGATAGTGGATCAGAGGCTTTGTTAGCTCACCTCACCCACTTGGAAATAGCAAAACAGGGTGTAATATTCACACTGGGAACTTTTATCCAAGAAGGATCCAAGAAGAAACACCACAGGTCAAAATAAGTAAATAAATAAAAGTTGTTTGGATACTTTGACTACTTGGAGGTGTGGAGGGCAGCAGCCCATGCTGAGGATTGGGTGGAAAACTATGTTACCAGAGCAAGAGACGGGGAAAGACTGTCTTTATGCTTCCCACTGAGGAGCCAGGCAATCCTCATGGAGCTCCTGGACCCCACCAAGGACAAGAAATGATTTGGGGAGCGGTGAGAATTTGTGAGAAGGAATGGCATTGGGAGGTGCTTTGTGCATGCTCCAGACACGGTGTTCATAGAGGGAGATCATTCCTGATCCTAGCTCACAGGGACTGTGCAAAAATCTGCCAGTCAGTGGGCATAGCGGTCACAAGCTGGATGAGGCTTTGAACTGGGATTTGCCATCTGATCTAGGATGAGGGAGGAGCCCTCATAGTCAGAACAGAAAGGAGAGTGTGGTGTAGGTTCTGCTGCCAGTACAGGAGTTGATTCACTGGACTGGACCAGGAGGGATGTGACCTGGGAGCTGTGGCTTCTGTTCCAGGCAGGGAGTCTTGTGACCTGAGGCAATTTCACAATCTGAACATTGACTGCTTGAGACTTGGCTGGCAGTTCTGGCCTGCTGCCAGCAACAGGCCACCAGTGGGATACCTGCTGGGTTAAGGGTTTGGGAAGTAGGTGGCTCCCACTACTGCCTGCTGGGCTGTGGATCCTGGGCTGTCCCCTCCCCCCCATGCAGGCCCTTTGGCCAGGTAGAGCCCCCCTTGCCCCTCCCTGGAACATTGCCCCAGTGGCCTGAGGGCTGCCCTCAACCTCTGTCAGTTAGTGACCTTGGGGAAGCCTGATCTTGGGCTTGTCCAGCCAAGCTGTGTTGGACTTCATTACCCCTACCACCTTGGTGGTCAAACACCAGACAGGAATCTCTGGGAGTGACCTGAGATTCCATGACTCTGCCCATTGCCCAGGAATTCAAGTGCTTCTGGTTTACAAAGGCCAACCATAAATCCCACTGCCAACACCTCAGCTGCCTCAGTCCTGCAAGCACCACATATTGGCTGGGAGGTCAACCTGCACAGCCCATTACAACTTCTGATTGCAGTTGCACAGCAAGTGGGTAGGAGACTAACTTCTCACCACCTTAACTACCACAATCCTCCGTAACACCCCAGCTACTCAGGAGGCCCTGAGCCTGCTCACCCACCCAGTACATTACTACCACAGCTGGCATTTGAGAAAGCCACCACACTAAGGCTATTTATAACAAAGGAAATCTTACAGAGTCTGTGCCATTCCTCTGCCACCCCTGTCAGGGCTGGTGCTTGTGCCTGCTATTGGGAGACCCAGGGCAGCCCTGCCTAGTCTAGCTCTGCTCAACTTAGCCAATGCTCTGTCAAGCCTAGGCCACTAGGAATCCCACAGATTAGCTCACTGCCTGAAGCACAGGAGAGTTTCTCCTGGTAAACAAAGATCAAGCATAAACCATTCTGTTACTCCCACAGGAGGCTCTTACATACTAGCACCACCTATTGACTTGGAGGTCAAAATATACAACCCAATACAAAAATTGCTGACACAGGGAACAGTACTCCAGAAAGAAATAAGCATCTGAGACCTCTGCAGATGAGAAGAAATAGTGTAACAGTTCTGGAAATATGAAAGGACAGGGTGTTATGACACTCTCAAAGGATCACACTAACTCTCCAGCAGTATAACTTAACAAAGTTGAAATCTTTGAAATACCAAATAAAAAATTCAAAATATTGATTTTAAAGAAGCTTAATGAGACCCATGAGAAAGTTTAAAACCAATACAAAGAAATCAGAAAATCAATCCAGGATATGAGCAAGAAATTTACCAAAAAACATAGATATTTTAAAAATAGCTAAGCTTGGCATGATAGCTCATGCCTGTAATCCCAACACTTTGGGAGGCTGAGACAGAAGACTCGCTTGAGGCCAGGAGTGGGAGATCAACCTAGGCAACATAATGAGATTCTGGCTCTTCAAAAATGTTAACAAGTATCCAGGCATGATGGTGTGCCTCTAGTCCCAGCTTCTTGGGAGGCTGAGGCAGTTCTATCCCTTGAGCCTAGGAGACTGAGGCTGTAGTGAGCTATCATTGCATTACTGCACTCCAGATACTGAACTCAACGGAATGAGACCCTGTCTCTTAAAAAAAATTAGAACATTGAGAAATAAAGAATTTATTGAAGGAATTACAAATACAGTTGAAAGCTTCAACAATAAACTACACCAAGCAGAAGAAAGAATCTAAGAACTTGAACAAGGTCTTTGGAATTAATTCAACTGGACATACAGAAAAAAAAAAAGAATTTTAAAAAATAAGCAAAGTCTTCTAGAACCATGGGACTACTTTAAACATCCAAACCCACAAATTATAGGTATTCCTGAGGGAGAAGAGAAAGAAATAGTCTGGGACACCTATTTGAGGATATAAATGAGGAAAACTTCCATAGTTTAGCAATAGATTTACACACAAATACAAGAGGCTCAGAGACTCCAGGGAAATACATTGCAAGAAGGACCTCACCATGTTATATAGTCATCAGATTGTCCAAGGTTCATCTGAAAGAAAAATATCCTAAAATCAGCAAGAGAAAAGCAAGTAGTCATCTATAAAGAAAACTTCATCGGACACAGCACACTTCTTAGCAGAAATCTTACAATAAATCAGAAGAGATTTGTATTCTATTCTATCTTCAAGGTGCTTAAAGGAAAAAAAAGGACAATCTCAAATTTTGTATTTTGCCAGAATAAGCTTCATAAATGAAGGAGAAACAAAGTCTTTCCCAGACAAACAAATGCTGAGGAAATTCATTACCACTAGATTGGTCCTACAATAAAGCTCGAGAGAATTCTAAACATGGAAACAAAAGATTGATACTCACCATGGTAAAAACACACGAAAGTGTAAAACTCATGGATCTTATAAAAACAATTACACAAATGAGAGGGTAAAGAAACTAGGTAACATTGTGATTATGACAGGAACAAAACCTGACATATCAATATTAATTTTAAATGTAAATGGATTAACTGCTCCACTTAAAAGATATAGATTAGTGGATAGAGAAAAAAACGTAATATAATCACATGCTGATTAAAAGAAAGAAACCCACCTAACTGGCAAAACTCCTGTAGACTGAAGGATATTCCCCACAAGCAATCAAAAATGAGCGGGAGTAGCAAGAAGGATTCACAGCTGAATTATACCAGATATACAAGGAAAAACCGGTACAAATCCTATTGAAACTGTTCCAAAAAACTGAAAAGGAGGAAATCCTCCCTAACTCCTATGAAGCTAGTATCACCCTGGTACCAAAGCCAGGCAAGAACACACACACTCACAAAAGTTAAAGACCAATGTTCCTGATGAACATAGGTGCAAAAATCCTCAACAAAATACTAGCAAACCAAATCCAACACCACATCAAAAGATAATACACCATGATCGTGTGAGTTTTATTCCAGAGATGCAAGAATGTTTCAATGTATGCACATCAATAAATGTGATTCACCACATAAAGATAACTAAAACAAAAACCATATGATAATCTCAATAGATGCAACCAAGGCATTTGACAAAAGTCAGCATCTCTCCTGATGAAAACCCTCCACAAACTAGGCATAGAAGGAGCATATGTCAAAATAATAAAACCCAGCCCTATATGACAGATGCACAGCCAGTTTCATACTGAATGGAGAAAAGCTGAAAGCATTTCCCTAAGAACTGGAAGGAGACAAGCATATCCACTTTCACCACTCTTATTCAACATAGTACTGGAATTCCTAGCGAGATCATTCAGGCAAGAGAAAGAAGTCAAAGACATGCAAATTGGAAAAAAGGAAGTCAAATTATGTCTGTTTGCTGACAATATTATCTTGTACCTAGAAAACTCAAAAGACTCCTCCAAAAGTCTCTAGATTTGATAAACGAATTCGGAAAAGTTTCAGGATACAAAATCAACATGCAAAAATTAGTATCACTTCTGTACAGCAATAATGATCAAACTGAGAACCAAATCAAGAAGTCAATCCCATATAAGATAGCTACAAATAAATAAAAAAAAATGAATAAATAAATCACCTAGGATACATCTAACCAATGAAGTGAAAGATCTCTATAAGAAAAACTACACAACACTGATGAGAGAAATTGTAGAAGACAGAAATAAATGGAAAAACATCCCATACTCATGGATTGGGAGAATCAATACTGTTAAAATTACCTAAAGCAGTCTACAAATTCAAGGAAATTCCTATCAAAGTAACAAGATCAATTTTTAGGGAATTAGAAAAAGCAATTCTAAAATTCATATGGAACCAAAAATAACCCAAATATCCAGAGCAATTCTAAGCCACAAGAACAAAGCTGGAAGCATCACATTACCTGACTTAAAATATAGTAGCCAAAACAGCATGGTACTAAAACAAAAACAGACACATAGACGAATGGAACAGAATAGAGAACCCAGAAATAAAGTCAAATACCTACAGGCAACTGATTGTTGACAAAGTTGACAAAAACTTACAATGAGGAAAGGGTACTCTATTCAATAAGTAGTAGTGTGAAAATTGGATAACCATACACAGAATTAAACTGGACCCATATATCTCACCAGATACAAAAATTAACTTCAGGTGGATTAATGATTTAAATGTAAGACCTGAAATAAATATTCTAGAAGAAAATATAGGGAAAACTCCTCTGGACATTGATCTAGGAAAAAAATTCATGACTGAGACTTCAAAAGCAAATGCAACGAAACCAAAAATAGACAAATGGACTTAATTAAACTAAAAAGCTTCTGCACAGCAAAAGACATAATCAACAGAGTGAAAAATGGACAATCTACTGAGTGAGAGAAAATATTTCTAAACTGCATGTGACAAAGAATTAATATCCTGGCTGGGAGTGTTGGCTCACACCTGTAATCCCAGCACTTTGGGAGGCCAAGGCAGGCAGATTGCTTAAGGCCAGGAGTTTGAGACCAGCCTGACCAACATGCAACATGATGAAACTGTGTCTCTACTAAAAATACAAAAGTTTGCCAGGCGTGGTGGTGCACACCTCTAATCCCAGCTACTCAGAGGAGGCTGAGGCATGACAATCGCTTGAACCTGTGGCAGGGGTTGCAGTGAGCTGAGAGCATGCCACTGCACTCCAGCCTGGGTGACAGAGTGAGACTCCATCTCAAAAAATAATAATAATGAAAATAATTAATATCTGGAATTTACAAGGACTCACACAATTCAACAGAAAAAAATAACATCATTAAAAGTGGGAAAAAATCATGAACAGACATTTTTCAAAAGAAGACATATGAAAGTCCAACAATCATAAAAAATGTCACCATCGCTATCATCGAAGAAATGTACATTAAATCACAATGAGATACCACCTTACATGAGTCAGAATGGTTATTGTTAAAAAGTCAAAATTAACAGAGATGTTGGTGAGGATGAGGAGAAAAGGGAATTCTATTCTGTTGATGGGACTGTAAATTAGTACAACTCCTATATAAAACTGTATGGAGATTTCTCAAATAACTAAAAATAAACTACAATTTGACCCATCAATCCTAATGCTGGGTATCTACTTCCCTCAAAAAGGAAATTGTTACATTAAAAATATACCTGCACTCATATGTTTACTACAGCACTATTCACAATAGCAAAGATATGGAATCAACCTATGTGTCTATCAATGGAGGACTGGATAAAGAAAATGTGGTGTATATACAGCATGGAATATTACTTAGCCATAAGAAAGAATGACATCATGTCTTTTGCAGCAACATGGATGGAACGGGGCATCATTATCTTAAGTGAAATGACTCAGAAACAGTCAAATACTGCATGGCATGGTCTCACATATAAGTGAGAGCTAACTAATGTATACACATGGAAACAAAGAGTGGAATAGTAGCATTAAAGATTTGGAAAGGTAGGAGCCATGGGAGAGGGATTAGAGTTGAGAGATTACCTAACTTGTATAATGTACAGTATTTGGGTTATGGTTACATGAAAAGTGCAGACTTCACCATTGTTGCGGGAAGTCAGGGACCCTGAATGGAGGAACCAGCTGGAGCCGTGGCAGAGGAACATAAATTGTGAAGATTTAATGGACATTTATCAGTTCCCAAAATTAATACTTTTATAATTTCTTATGCCTGTCTTTACTTCAATCTCCGAATATAAATTGTGAAGATTTCATGGACATTTATCAGTTCCCAAATAATACTCTTATAATTTCTTATGCCTGTCTTTACTTTAATCTCTTAATCCTGTTATCTTCGTCAGCTGAGAATGTACGTCACCTAAGGACCACTATTGTACAAATTGATTGAAGAACATGTGTGTTTGAACAATATGAAATCTGATTGTAAAACATGGGTGTTTGAACAATATGAAATCAGTGCACCTTGAAAATGAATAGAATAACAGTGATTTTAGGGAACAAGGGAAGACAACTAAAGGTCTGACTGCCTGTGGGGTCGGGAATAATAGAGCCATATTTTTCTTCTCACAGAGCGCCTATAAATGGACATGCAAGTAGGAGAGATATTGCTGAATTCTTTTCCCAGCAAGGAATATTAATAATTAATACCTTGGGGAAGGAATGCCTTCCTGGGGGGAGGTCTATAAACGGCCGCTCTGGGAGTGTGTGTCTTATGCAGATGAGATAAGAGCTGAAATACACCCTGGTCTCCTGCAGTACCCTCAGGCTTATTAGGGTTGGGAAAAATATCCTGCCCTGGTAAATTCGAGGTCAGACCTGTTCTCTGCTATTGAACCATGTTTTCTGTTGTTAAAGATGTTTATCAAGACAATATGTGCACAGCTGAACATAGACCCTCATCAGTAATTCTAATTTTGCCCTTTGCCTTGTGATCTTTATTGCCCTTTAAAGCATGTGGTCTTTGTGACCTAATCCCTGTTCGTACACCCCATCCCCTTTTAAAGTCCTTAATAAAAACCTGCTGGTTTTGTGGCTCAAGCGGACATCACAGACCTACTGATATGTGATGTCACTCCTGGAGGCCCAGCTGTAAAATTCCTCTCTTTGTACTCTTTCTTTTTATTTCTCAGACTGACTGACACCTAGGGAAAATAGAACATATGTTGAAATATTGGGGGCTGGTTTCCCCGATAACCATTATATATACCCATATACCCATGTAACAAACCATTAACAATTATTATACTCATGTAACAAACTTGCACATGTACCCCCTAAAAAAAAGAGTAAACAAATTTCCTGAATCTTTGAAATAGTTGTTGTAGATAGTAATTTGTAAGCTTTTCAGTTCAGTTCACTTTCAATTGAAAAAAGGAATAGTTTTAGTTTTTGATTGTTGGGGGCTGGGGTAAAGCCCACTGTCAATTCAGTAACGCATTTAAAAATATTTCAAAATTTTTTGCAAGACATTTATTTCTTTAGTGCCTAGACAATAGTTTTTTTTTTTTTTTTATAGCACTTGGCAATAACTTTCAATGGTCTATGCTACACAATTTGGGTAATGTTACTCCAATCCAGTGGTTCTAAAACATAACATATCAGAATTGCTTGAGAATTTAAGAAGCACTGAGTCTTTGCTCTACCCTAGATATGCTGAGATTAAAGTAAGTCTCTGCTTGTAGAGCCCAAATGTGTGTATGTTATCCATTTTAGGTTAATCAGCATGTATAGCACTGGTATACAGGCTGGCAATTTGTGCCCACTAGGGAATGTTTTAGGGTTTGTTAATACATAAGTACTCTCTCTCTTTATTTTGTTTTTTCTACATGCCGGCCCCCATTATTATTCACTTACAAATTTTAAAATTTACATTGAGATTTCTTCTTTGACATAAGGATCTTTTTTGGAAGTGTGTTTCTTTATTTCTAAATATTTGGTGATTTTCTAGTAAAAATATAATTTCTAGTGTATGCATATATATATATATGAATTTTTAAGACTATATTGTTTGTATCATCTTTAATCTGATGTTTGAGTATTTCTTTCAGCAGAGTAACAATGTGTAGAAACTGAAAAAGGAACTCAATGTAAGTGGGTTGGCAAGAAATGCATGATGGAATTGACTTAACTCAGTGTTCTAATCTGTAATTTCCTGAGGCCTTATTGGCAACCATATATATGCTAGAGGAGAGTAGTCTTTAGAAAAAATAAGTTCCCATGTGAGAAATGGTATATTGAGAGTCTGAATAATCTTGAGCATTTATTAAAGATATCTTAATTTCTCCATGGAAAAACAATATATCACAATCAAATATTCTGTCTTTGCAATGAAGTCATAGTTCAAAATACAGTAAACTAATATATGGCATGATTTTAGTCACTTGGAGAAATGCAAGAACAGGACATTTATTTATCATTGTTGCTAGGAGAATTCTCCTTCAATATCAGGCCAAGACTGATATTTCATACGTAGAGAACAAAAGACAATGTGTACAAGCCATGAGGCCTTATAGTAAACAAAAATTATATTAGATCTAGTTTATTGGTTTTAGAATTTTATTAACCTATAGCCAAAGCTTGATGAAAATCCATCATGGTTTAAAATTTAATGTAAATACAAACAACCTTGATAATTTAAAAGTCAAAAGTAAAAGTATAACTTACAGAAAGCAGGAACTATGGTGAAATGTGGGGAAGAAGGATTGAAGTAGTACATTCTCATCTGATGTGGTAAGCAGTCAAACAACAATGGAATTTTTAAAAATTCTAAATTCATTATTAAATTTACCAAGTTAACTAAATTAAAAAAAACTAAAGATAATCTTTCTTCTATCAAATATTTTTAGGACAAGAGGAAGAAAACTGAGAATATTATTAGTGTATTCAATCCTTATATTTCATATGAGGAATTCAGTAAATAGTACATGATGTTAATAAAATAAGATAACAGCTTAAGCATATCATTTAAAGTCACAAGGTAGCCATATGAGGAATTAAAAACAAAAACAATTAGAAAGGTTTTCTCTGCAAGGTGAAATTTGAGGATTAAGAGGAGGAAATAAAGTAGGAGAAATCTGCTTTTCCATATAAGCTCTGATTATTTGTGCAGATGTTACTTTAATAACAATTTAAAGACATTTATTAAAATATCATCTGAAGACATCACATCTTTCTGATGTGAACACTTAAAAAAAAAGTTAAAAACTTTTCATTTTGAAAGCATATTTAAACCAAAAGGATGTTGGAATTGAAGCAAAGAAAAGACTAAGGGAAGACAAGATTCTTCGAGTCTCTGAGAGGGAATATGGGAAATGAGAATAGAAATTCATTGTAAAGGGTAACAGACTGCTTAACGGGGAAAAGAATAAGCTAAGTAGATAAATAAATAAATAAAATAAATATTTAATTTCTTTTAAATTCTTTAGCTTGTAAGACTTTTTTGGCATGAAATTTAGTATAGAATTGAGGTTACAAAGTACCATTGGTTGTATTTTGAATGTGCATAGAATTTTATTATGAAAACCATTTGTTTTTCTTAACATTTCTCCTTTCATTCACAGTATACTCAGTTTAATCAAATTGTTCTCTTTTTTCTGAGTCAGGGTTTCACTCTGTCACCCAGGCTGGAGTGCAGTGGTACTATCTCAGCTCACTGCAACGTCTGCCTCCCAGGCTCAAGTGGTCCTTCCACCTCAGCCTCCTGAGTAGCTGGGACCACAGGCATGTGCCACCACACCTGGCTAATTTTTTGTATTTTTAGTAGAGACGGGGTTTTTCCATGTTTCCCAGTCTGGCCTCGAATTCCTGAGCTCAAGCGACCTGCCCATCTCGGCCTCCCAAAGAGCTGGGATTACAGGTGTTGGCCACCGTGCCAGGCCTCAAATTGTTCTCTTTTTAAACTACATTATTCTCTGAACTTCCTATCTGAAGTCCAGATTGCATTCCATTGCCAAAGGAATCTTGGTAAAATATTTCTTTTATCATAATGCTTTGTTCAGGAATTCAAAATAACTTTATACATATATACAGAGAGAGAGAAAGAGAGGAGAGAGAGAGACAGAGAGAGACAGAGAGAGCACTCAAAAGCATTACTATATAATTATAACCGTTAATAAATTATACTGGGGAAATAATTAAGAAATGGCGTTGTGTTGAACAACCTGGATATATGGCTACCCTAATTTTCAATCTATGATTCTCTCTCTGTTTTTATTTCTGTAGTTATTTATCTCTGCATTATTTTGCAGAGAATCATATGATAATTGGCCTGATTTAATAATTCCATAATGTACACAGGTATATGTATTATAAATTATAACAATTTATAGTCCTGCAAGGACTGAACTTTTTTCACTGAGTGATTTTTCTTCTAGCTTGGAATTCATTCTTTTTATCTTTTCTCTCTCTCTTTTGAAATTCATGCTAATTTTCAAGAATAAGAAATCCTCCCTAAAGCTTCTGTAACTATTTGGTTCACACTTACTTCTCTTCTCAGAATTTAGTCTCTGCTACATCACATAGGACTTTATTACAGAAGTCTTACATTGCTTTCTCACTATTTTATAGAAGTGATTTCTGCTTTCTCAGGATCATAAACTCCTTGACAACAAAAGTTGTTAAATACTGTATCAGTCAGGGTTCTGGACAGAAACAGTCAGCCACTCACATTGCAAAATTTTAAGAGACTTTATTGAAGAGTCTTTTTGTAAAGGTATGGGCAAGGAAGCCTAAGGGATGCTGCTGCATCCTAGGGCTAATAACAAAGGAGTTCAGTACCATATGCTAGGCCTGTTGGGACAGGTAGAGGAAGTTGTTCCCCAAACCCAGATAAAGAGTTGTGGTCCAACAGGAGCTGTGACTGGCAGAGGGACACAGTTACTTGGAGAGAGTGCAGAGTATAAGTCCTCTAATCTTATTATTCTCTCTACTTGTGTGGTGCTATTTTTTTTCCTAGAAATTAGTTAGCTCTCACATGGATTGATCAAATGGCCAGTCCTATCTATCTGGTCTAACAAAGTTACTGCTATCTCCACAGTTCTCAAGTGACTCATCGGAAGTGGTGCTCAGCCATACTTGACCCTTCTTTTGCCAGAAGGAGTTTTATAATACTTTTCACATCACAAAGCAGAGTACAGGGTTCACAGAGAAAAATCCATAAATACATGTTGACAGATTGGTGCTCTGATATCAATTTTTTACTTCTAGTTTTGCTATTTTCGAACATTCATTGGAACTTTCTTTTACATTTTCTGCAAAAACAAAAGCATCTACATATTTTTTTGATCTCCAAATTAATATTTTATTACTAGAAGTAGAAGGATAAACTCCATTTGAGAGTTATTTATTTTTTGTTTCTTCTCACTATTTGCTGGTCTATTTAGGAAAAAAATGCTTAGTATTAGCATATACTATATAGTTTACAAATCACCTTAATATACATCATTTCATTGTATTTTCGGCCCTTGTCTTTGAGTTCACTATCAACCATTCTCTTTAGCCGTATTTCATATCATTTTCAAATTCTTTTTCTACCCTGGTTTGATTTCTGTTGATGATAAATATGAGACTAATGTCTTACAGATTTCACTCCTTCTTCAATTAGCTCCACAGATTTTTCTTGGCCTCCAGAAAGGTGTGGAAGCTTTTTGAAAGATGTATTTTTTAATGCAGATTTGTACTCTGATACACTGGAAATACTATACTTCACATCCATTTAGATTTATACTGTTTGTAATAGATAATTACTTTAATGTTGCAAAAATGACTTAGCCTATAAGCCCACTTTTTGCTATATTGGATTTTGGTACAGTCATTTCTACTTACTGCTTGTATTTTTTTCTTTTTTCAAGAATATTTGTCCCTTTTTATATTGCCAATTATGGACTAATATTGCCTTTATCGTAACCTGATAAACATTTGTACTTTCAATATCCTCTGGTGCCAATAGAAGACAAACTCAGGCCTAGTCTCTATTATTAAATCCTTGTCATCCCCATTGCTCCACATCCTGCTTCTCATTTCTCTGTGATTCTCTCCTGCCTTCAGTTCTGCTCATTTGTATGATTTGGTCCTACTCTTGAGTATTAATCAACTTGTTTTCCACCTATTGTTGGTATATTACATCTGATGATATTGAGTGCTAAATCTCTTTCCCATCCCAATATTCTACCTTCATTTTTTTCTTCTCATACAGATTATACCCCTTTGCAGTAACTTCCTGTTTAAGAAGGTGCTCCCTTCTGGTTTCAGCTTCTCCCCCCAACAAATAAACTCTTCAATTTATATACTTTTAATTCATCCAGCTCTTTGTTGTGTCACTTTTCATTTAGACATTTTATAGTTGATACCTGTGAAAGTAAACTTGCTATATTCTTCTGATGTCAGCCACATTTTATAAAAAGTTTTAGCTCACAAAGAAGATTAAGAAAAGCTACAAAGATTTATTCTCTCCTGCTCTTTGCATTCATGTACATGAGGTAAGCATGCTGCTTTATCTCAGCCTGAAGTAACAGACTTGATACAGCCTGACGCTTGGTTCATTTTAAATAGATATTCTACTTAATACCAAGGTTGAGAAACTCCTGCCAAGTCTAATAGGCATACATGCTTTCAGGTAAATAGAGCTCATAACTTTACAGCCCAGAACAGCAGGGGTTGAGTCAACTAAATTTTTTATTATAGTCATTTAGAAATTCATTTAAATATTGCTCATCAGCATCCATTGATCTCAACATTTTTCATATGGCTGAGAAGCTGGTATACATGCAGCCCTAACATACTCAAATCTATCAGATTTGTTTATGCAAAATTTCCTGGTACAATGTGATGATTTCATTTTATGGTTTGTTTTAGGCTATGGCAGTACTGAAGTTAATTCTGCTTCAACTTAGACTGATGCATCTTGTTTAGTTCTAGTTACTTGGGGTTGATTGGTGTAATGAATTTCTCCCTTATTGATCCACAAGTTAATTTTTTCAAAGTCAATATGTTTATGTACATAATAATACAAATACTCATTTCTGTTGTTTCTGGCTCACTACATTCTTGCAGAAAGAAGTGCTTTTGCTGCTTAATGAATGAAAATCATTGCTTACAAGTAGGAACACGGTAAATATTCATCTGCTCTGAGTGAATGAAGTTAAGAATATTAAACTTGAGCTTAATCTGGTATATTTACATTCTATAACACAAATATAAATTTTGGGGCAAATCATGTCTTATGTTGCTTAAAAATGTTATATTTTCTATGACTGTTCATGTGAAAGATTGTTAGAATTTTTACTGAGTTTTATGTATCTGAATATTTGGCATGTGTGTAATTAACATAACATGTCCACTCAGAAAGAATAGAAGCTTTAACCTCATAAACCCTCATGGTCTTTCATAAACTTCAATGTTTCAAAGAAGTACCTATTAAAGAACACATAGAAATAACTGTTGACCTTATAGATTCTTTTGATTATAAATGATATTATTAAAAAATATAAAACATGTGATTATTTTTTGGCCTCTGTGAAGAACAGACCTTTAATTCCTTTCTAAGAGCACTGAGATTGGATTTAATCAAAAACAACACATTTAGGCCATTAAAGATTTCAAGACATTGGCTGTGTTGTAACATATTTGATACTCTCCGTCCTTTTATTATGAGGCTTCTTGAAGATGGTAGGGCATGCAAGTTTTATGCCTATCCTCAAGGCCTGTGGCCCTCTTTACGGAGTTAGGGAGACAAACAAGAATGTTTGCTTCAGTCTTATAAGGTCGATTATATTGTATTATAAATGCCTACTCTATGTCCATATATTCCAAGAAACTACACAATTTTCTAGAGGGGTTCCTGGAAAAGAATCATGTGTTTTTCTCTACCAGTTATTTCTGAACTTAATATGGTGCCTAGGACCTCACAGATACTCAGTAAATATTTCCTGAATGAAGGCTTGTTACCAAGTGCTTACTTTGAGGAGTGAGAAAAGTTTCAGTGAAGGGTATATAGAGAGGCATAATTGAACATAGTCTAGTTGTTGCGATGGTAAATAGGTAAAAAGGGCACAAAGTTCTGAATGGTTAGTGCCAAATATATTCATCCTCTGAGGATCAGTGGGGAAGATACTTGACTTTAGGCTGGAGAAAGAATCACCATGGAGGAGGAATTTGAGCAGACTGTTCAAGAATAGTTTGTATCCATCATTAGTCCAGTATTGCTTAACTGCAGAGATTCTATGTTTACTCATTTTTGTACTCCTGTTGCCTACCACTTTGGCACAAAGTAGGTGTTTCACAAATCTCTGTCCAAAGCCTGTTAGGCTACGATGGTAGGAAGTACTTTACAGGTTAAAGTATGAGTTGTACAGAGTTATAAAATTGCATGGCCTATTTTGGCAAGAAAGAGTGACTGAACCATCCTAACTACAAGCACGGGAAAGTAGGCTTGAAGTATACATCATGGACATGGAATTCAGGTTCTAGTCATAGTTCTGTAAGCTCAGGGAAGCTACTTCATCTCTCTGAGTCTCAGAAAATACATAAAATGGGAAATATCATTTCCATTTGTTGTGAGAATTAATTGAGATAATGTATGTGAAAATTCCTAATAAAGTGCCTAGAGTGGAAAGTTCTTAACAAAAGTGTTGTTCAAAATGCAAGATGGAAGTGGAAAAGGGATGTTGAAGCCAGATAATAGTCAATTCTAGGTTAAAGAGCTAGATGTATTTGTAAACTGCCCTAAAACTCTCTTGAGAGCCACTCAAACAGAAATGGTCTTTATATCTTATAAGAAGAGAGCCCATAATGTTATTCTAGAAATGTGTTATGAGTAGGATTTTCTAGCCTTGGTACCATGCTTTTTTCCTTGGCTAGAGATAACCAGACATCCAAAAGTCTCTGGGCCAACAGAAGCTCAGCAGTTTGGTACTGGGACTCTGGAAGTCCCCACTGAAAATGAATTTGTTTGAGATAATGGTGATTTAGTCTTCAGCTTCTGGCATGTACAGTATCTTTCTAATTTCACTTGTGGAGTTCATCTGAATCGCATATAAAGGGATTTAAGACATGGTTTTGATGAGGTCCTTGAGGTTGTATCATTTGGTTATGTGTGAAAGCCACACCACTGAGAGATCAATGTGCTGTTTTTCACCGGCCCCAGTAGGTTTGCTTTCCACCTGTCTTTACTTTTCTTTGTGCCATGACTTCACCTGTGCTTCCTTAAATTCCAGCTTCCTATTGGATTTTTCCAATGGAAAGCAGTGTGAAATATGGACAGGTAGAGGAAGGAACAGTTTGAGTATTTATTTCATCTGTTTCTTCCCTGCTGGGCTGAGAATTGTCAGTAGCTAGGTTTTTCACTAAGACCACTGCTTCTTTGGTCAAACCCTTCATCAGGGTTCTGTTAATACATCTCTCTCCTTGCCCTTTCAGGCCCAGAGGTGGTAATAGCTTCCTGTTCTTGAGAGTATTTGGGTCATTCAACCATCCATTATTGGTTTCCTAATCCTGCCCAAATCTTGTAAATTGTCTTTTTGTCAGCATTTATTCCATTTTTTTGAATTAGCCAACTATTTTTTGAGTCCTGCTGTTGGATTCTGACCAATACTTCTGGTAATTAATAAGTATTAATATTCATAAAATATTCCTTGAGTAGCACTGTTTAGTAAAGGTTTGTGCTCAGTCTAGCAAACCCATCATTAGAACTGTGAGAAAGGCTAAGCCCTTAACTGAAGTTTGTTATTATATTTGTATATACACAGTATTGTGTTTTGCATATGTGTTTTTCTTTTGCATATGTATTCCTGACAATCACATATTAATACATTCTAAAAAGTACTAGCATTTAGGTCTTATTTACTCTTACTTTGAGGAGCATATTTGCAAATGTTAAAATAGTAACTGGAGGAAAGATGGAAATCAAAATTAATTACACATTGAAATAAACTAGATGCCAGGTTTGGCATGAACAAATGTTTGTTCCCGATAAAATGTAGAACTTTGTAGAGATGTTAGAAGATTTTGCTCTGTTATCAGCCAGTTTCACAGTTTAAAGTTTAGCCTCAAGTTTTGGGCTTTTTATTAAACTTTGTTCAAATGAAAATCTCTTTCCTTTCGGCTATTAGGTTTATGCTTGAAACATTACTGTATCTGTATATGTTTGCTTTATGTTTGATCTAGAAAACACAGTAAGAGATGCATCATTAGGACGTTAAAAATACATACATTAGTGAGTGAAAGATGGAATGAGGAGGCTCTTGGATATTTATATTTGTTGACAAAAGCCACATGATGTGAATTTGTATTGTATTCATGATAAAGTCATCATTAGGCATGATTAGAATTTATGTGAAAGTGAAATAGATAGAAGAAATAAATCGTTGGTTTGAGCAAAGTGTTATCTTTTTTTTGAGGGAATATATTCCAATGCTTTTGTTTTGTTATTCTCATTTCAATAGGATGGATTCCTGAATGACAGATGATGATTTGACAAAGAAATTCTAGTCTTAAGCAGAATGATCTAGCACCACATTTTGAAGTCAATTGTATTTAATGTTCTATTTTTAAAGCATATATTATATTATTAAAAATGTAATAGTTTGTTTATCCTGTGTTGTCTTGGTCCATGCATGCTGACAACAAAAGGATAAATACAGTGCATACAGGTGTTCCTCTGGTAATACCATGAACATGACACATGCCATCCTATGATAAATTGGCTCTGTGTCTGTTCAATTTCAACTCTAAAGCTCTGGAGGCAGAAGTGTTAGGAAGCAGGCATAATTCTGGTGAACAGAGGCCTCAGATGCACAAAATTAGTGTGCATGGAACAGATAACAGAGAAAGGGACCCACAGTGAGAGGAAGTTTGCACAGGTTTGTAGACTTCCTGGGGTTTAGGTAGTATTGGCAGATGTTAGGTGGGAAAAAAACATCTGTAAGCATGATAATGAGCATTCCCAGAATCTGAAGTGACAACTGTATCCAGCACAAATGCTGTCTTGTTGTCCTATTTGCATACCAATTAAATTTTAAAATAAAGAAACAAATATTGGATTACCGAATTTGTTTGACAAATAATCTGTAGGGCTTACTCAGTACAATTGGGTCAGGCATGTTGGCTGTTTGACAGATGTTGTATCTATGAACAATTTAAGCAAAATATGTATCCAGATTGTTACCACCCACAGTTTTATAAGTAGGAATCTGAAATGGGTTAGAGATGGTTTGATACCCTGAGGCAGCCACCATGGAATGCTTGTTCTCCGTGCTTTGCTAATGCATTCAAGAGGTAATATTTCATATTCAGTTTTCAAAGTGAAAAGTTTGTTCTTAAAAAAACCATTGTCTGTAAATTTAATATTGTATTTTATTATATTAATTTTTAAAGATTTGCATTACGTATTACAAATGAAGACTCTGAATTTGACTTTTAAAAGGGGATTAGTCCAATCTTTATAGTCATGAGAACGTGAGGGCATGATTTTGTGTAAGGAAATTTTCAGGACTCTTCTCTAGGAGCTTGAAGAGGTAGAAAACAAATATATATACTCCCACTTTTAGGGCATTTTCAGGCATACTCCATGATTTTTGGAGATAGAAAGTACACATTATGTATAAAAACATGACTTTTGAAGGGAGAAATATATTGTCTGCTGAATGTGACATGTTAAATAGAAAACTAAGATTCTAATATAGAGTTCAGTTCAATAAACCTAAAATATCTGCTAAGTGCCAGGCACTGTGTTAAGTCCTGGTTATACAAACATAAATAACACATAGTCCAGCATCTTAAAAATGTCATAGCCTTTGGAAAACAGACACAAACATAGGTTATTTCAATATCATTGATATGCACAAGCAGAAAAGTAACACACCATAAATCTTACTTCTAGGAGTTTACATGTAGAAATTCTTCTGGGAAATTGGGAATTCTGATTCGTCTTTGTTTTACACAATGGGCATTTTTCTGAAATGTGTGCAAATCAAACATGGAAACTGAATTATATTTTCCTTGATTAATGCTTCAGAGGCATATTTAATTGTCATTTGCATGTTCTTTTCATTTGGTTTATTTTCAATAGGTGTTGGATTTTCCTGTTAAAATCCTCTCTCTTACTGCTAGTACTCCTGTAGTTAATCATTTTAAAACCTTAAACACACTAGAAGTACTTGCTGTTTGAGGAACCCCTGAGGTGAATAATTATTTAAACTGAGAATTGCTTTGTTTGAGCAAAAGTTACATTTTCTTTTAACTATTTTGAAAAAAATAACTCAAAAATTTTTTCTCCAGATGTGTGTGTAACTATGCTATATTCTGCTCTTGACCACAGAGCTAACTTAATTAGCAGGGTATTCAAAAGACAAGTTAACTTTGGTGAGTAATTTCTCATCATCATTCATTCATTAATTCAACCAACATTTAATGAGATGCTATCAAGTACTGTACTGTGGTTACTGAGCCATAGGAGGCTTTTTCTGCTCTCAAATAATTTATACTCTTGTGGCACATGCCAACCAATCGGCAGATCATTAAGTACAGAATAAATGTCAAAATAGTAGCACACTCTAGGTGCTTTACCTGCTAAGATAACCTATCTGTTATCTGTTATTGGATACTCTTTCATTCAAACACTGGTTGCATATATGCTGACGTTTTTAGCATGCGACTTCAACAAATTATACATTTCCTTTAAAAAAAATACTTTAGCAAAACATGTTCACAATGAAAATGATTTTTTATTGCTAAGCTTGCATGAATATACAACCACCACCTCAAGGGATCTATATTTCACTTCTCAGTTGCTGAAACACACATGATGTTCAAAGACAATTTCTCCTCTGATCAATGCATAGATTACAAGAGGAAAATTGAGGGACAGGGGTGCGAGGAGCACAGTGAGACAGGGGAATTAGAGATTTGGGTTGATCTTCATTCTAGATTAAAGGGTCATATGAAGGAGCAGCAGGAGATGAGGCTGGAAAGGGAGACATTACAGGGCCTTGTGTACTATGGGTAAGCAGGGAAAATTGCTTTGTCTTAAAGGGATATGTGAGCCACTTCAGTATTTACACAGTAGAATTACATCATCTCATTTGTGTCTTAGAAAGAGTACTCTGACAGCAGTTTATGTGTCTAGAATTGCTGGTACAAATAATCTAAGAAATGATAAAGCGAAGATAATTTGAAAAAAAAAATCTTTATGCCTCTGTGCTTTCCAAATCAAGCATTACCAAGTAGCATAAAGATTTTAACCACATTATTTTTATTTGGTAAATTAGCCTAGAAGTTCACAGAAGCTTATATACCAGAGTGATTATTTGTTTCCAGCTGGCCTCTCTAATCCACAAATGCTTCTACGGGGCCGAGTCACATGAAATTTCAGCTCAGGTTGAGCGTGGCTGGCCCAGGCTTCCCTTGGCTGGCCTAGTCCCTGTCTGCCGACCCCTGCTGCTGCCTGTTCTCTGTGGAAAGGCTCCCAGAGGGCAGACACTTTTCTTGCTTCTTTTTGCAGCTGACATTGCTATTGCAGGAGTACCATGGATGGAGTCCCAAGTTCTTTCAACAAAGCAAAGACTTGCATGAGATGTGACAGGTCTATAGAACTACTTATCAGTGAGGGAGAGGCAAGGGGGTTGGCATTTCCAGGAATATGACAGAAAGAAAAGGAAGAATAAAAAGCTGCTATCACACCTGCCACAGAGGGCAATAAAAGATACGTGATATGGCAGGGTGGAAAGCTAGTGAGAGTTGAGTGCTTGTTGAACAAATGGTATATTTAGGGAAGCAAAAAGTGTGTTAGCTAGAAACAATTTTTTTTTAGGTCACATTACTCCCATAATGAAGGAAGAGGGCCACACTAAATCTTATGCTTCTCACAGTGTAGTAGAAGATCTGAGAATTAAATGCCTCCAGCACCATTGTGTTTGATTTTAATTTTCCAGTCTGGAAACACAAAAGACCATGTATACAGATTATCTAAGAAGGATCAGATTACTCTGGATGATTTTGGACATTTTCTGAACGCTGTAAATTAATATCCCATTTTAGATCTCTGCTGAATAGGATTATAATAACAGTGGACCTCCCTCTGGAAAACCAGGAATTCAGGAGAGCCTGTACAGTTCAGTCTTTCACTGGCCACAGTGTCTCTTAAACCCGACTTGTCTATGTTGGAAGGAAAAGGAGAGACAGTTGACCAGCTTGAACTGCCACAGAACCGCCCAGACTTCTGACACTCTCAGGACCCCTGCCTGTTTAGTTAACAGAGGATTTTGGTGATATTTCTGTTATTGGATACTCTTTCATTCAAACACTGGTTGCATATATGCTGAAGCTTTTAGCATGCGACTTCAAGAGATTATACATTTCCTTTAAAAAAATACTTTAGCAAAACATGTTCACAATGAAAATGATTTTTTATTGCTAAGCTTGCATGAATATACAACCACCACCTCAAGGGATCTATATTTCACTTCTCAGTTGCTGAAACACACATGATGTTCAAAGACAATTTCTCCTCTGATCAATGCATAGATTACAAGAGGGAAATTGAGGTAAGGGATCCAAAACAAAGATAAGAAGCCAATTCCAGTTAGAGGAAGTGGGACGAGTAGTTTATGTTCTCTACTTTGTTGATGGAAGGAAAAACTCCTCTGCAAATGGAATAGGTCTAATATGAACATATACATTGAATTAGCTGGAGGTAGATAAACAGAGAGAAATACCATGGAAGAGAAGTCCATCAGAAGGGTGTCATGTGAAGAATAAGTGAAGCTAGGGGCAGGCACGGTGGCTCACACCTATAATCCCAGAAGTTTGGGAGGTGGGTGGTTTGCTTGAGCCCAGGAGTTTGCGACCAGCCTGGGCAACATGGTGAAACCCCATCTCTACAAAAAATTATTTAAAAATTAACTGAATATGGTGGTGGGCATGTGTGTAGTGCCAACTTGGGAGGCTGAGGTGGGAGGATCACTTGAGTCTAGGAAGTCAGTGCTGCCATGAGTCCTGATCACTTCATTGCATTCTCCAGCGTGGGTGACAGACTAAGACCCTGTCTCAAAAAAAAAAAAAAAAAGCAAGCCTAGACCTGTGATGTTTATTGTTCTTCTAAAGAATTTGATTATGTGATGGTGCTGTGGACTGGACGTTTGTGTCCTTGCATCCTCCCAAATTCATGTGTTGAAGTCCTAACCCCCATATGATGGTATTTGGAAGTGAAACCTTTGGGAAGTAATTAAATTTAGATGCATTGACCAGAGGAGAAATTGCCTCTTTGAACATCTTGCGCATTTCAGCAACTGAGAAGTGAAATATATAGATCTCTTGAAGTGGTTGTATATTCATGTAAGCTTAGCAACAAAAATTCATTTACATTAAGAACATGTTTTGCCAAAGTGTTTTTAAAAATGAAATGTATAATTTGTTGAAGTTGTATGCTAAAAACCTCAGCATATTTGCAATCAATGTTTGGATGCAAGAGTATCCAATAACAGAAATATCATCAAAATCCTTTGTTCATGAAGCAGGCAAGAGTCCCAAGAATGTCAGAGATCTGAGTGGCTCAGTGGCAGTCCAGCCTGGACAACTGTCTCTTCCTTCTTAAGACCCAACATACAGAAGTGGTGGCCTAGGAAAGATTTTGTCAAGTGAAAGACTGAGCTGTACAAGTCTCTCCTGAATTCCTTCCCTCGTCAATATCTGGCATATCCTAATACAAGGTATTCCAGATTTAATTTCTGTTTCAAATGTTTTAAAGTTTTTACAGATGTACTTACATCTTTACTATTGGCTACATCTACATATTAAAAATAGTTGATATTCATAATGATGACAAGAACACATTGCAATGTTAATCAAAGTAATATTACATTTGTTCTATAATTTCTGAGGCAGGAAAGGGAAATTTTATAAACAATATGGGGTAAAATTCAAAGGCTGGTTTTACTTAAGGGCAACATCTAGTTCAGCTAGAATGCTTCACATTTGACCTCTTTGGTGAGCTGTAGTTTTACTCTCTGGACTTACAGAGAGTGTAACCTTATTTTAGATGGACAGAGGGAATGATGAAGATTTATGTAAGGTACATGTGATAATGAAATATTTAAAATGCAAATGGAGGAAATCCTCTTCTCTGTACTTCGATGTATTGAATATGTTCAAGTCTACTTGGCACAGGGAAGCCAAGTAGGAAATTATGTGTTTAAGGATGGCAAACTATCCAGTCACCTGGAACATCATCATATCACTTACCTATGCAGAAGAGAAATTGAAAATGCCCCGAATAAAGGCAAGCAGAACAATAATGTGCCAACCCAACCCATCAAAGAAAGAAATGGAGAAAATGTGGGGTTGTCAAATTTTATATCAAGACAATAATGTTTCACAATATGCCTATACTTTTTTTAAGTACAGAAAGAGATAATTCTAGCTGCCTGAAGAAATGAAAGAGCAAGCTGGAATGCAATGACAGTTTTATACTACAAAAATGGGATGTATGACTTTGGAGTGGAATTAAGCAACTGAACAGTTAGGATCAGCTTTATTAATTATGACCAGTTAATCAGATGAGCCTTTTGGCGAAAATTATTGAAGTTTGAAATCTTCTAAGAATAGAAACTTCCATTTTTTCTCAAGGAAGCTTTCTTATAGGCTCAAGAAGATTAAAAGATGACTTCTCATTAAGAAAGCAGAGTGGCTGGTCTTTCACAAGATGAAGATATGTGCCTTCAAGGGGAAGCTCCCCATCTCTGGCAGGTGGGATCCTCCATGAGAAGCACAAGTGTTGAGGTGATACTTGCCTGGTCATCTAGGCTCTCCAAGACTGACCAACCTGATCGGCATTAGCACCCTATGCTTCCCAACTTGTTTTGATTTTCTAGTTTATTACAACCTTACGTAGCTGAATTCTACTTAAGCTTCCAAATAAAGTATGTCTTAGGTTTATTTGATTTTGCTGGTATATTTCAGGTTTAATTTCTGGACTCTTGCCTTAACTACCTTAAAAATGTTCTCCTGCCAAATCTATCATTCTTCCTGTCAGCTGTCCTCCTAACAAGTTTGCATGTCCTGAAAACAATGCAAGATTTACACTTACTGCATGCAAAATTTTGATTGCATCTATAACATTCATATTTCATTGTATATTTTAAGTTCTGTTCATCAAAATTTGTGAAATGAATTTTCATTTTCTTTAGGTATTACAAATAATAATGTACTTAGAAGATATTAGATATACATCAATTCTGTGAAAAAAATGACTTCTGGAACAAACATTTATTGAATGAATTAACTACTACACATTAGGTACTATGAATTAGCTCCTTTAAATTCAATAGTTTTAAAACTTTAATAGCTTAATTTTCCTGCCATAAAGATGACTTAATTTTTACCTGATATGTTTTGTTTATCTTAAAGCTCAGTAACTATAGTAAAATGGGTATTTTATTTCTTCTTTTTCCTGACAGATTTTATTAATCTTTATTTTAAAACAGAACCAGATACACCTTGGTTGTTCACATTCTCTGGTTGCCATTTAGTCTCAAAGTAAACATTGGAAACATATGACAAGCAATAGTTTAATGAAGCCATAGCACTTACAGAGTTCTCTCAACTTACAGAGTTCTCTCTCAAATGGTGACAATATAAAATCTGTCATAAATACAGTGAAAGATGCAAGGTAGAACACATTTTAATACTGGTACAATAGCAGTAGCAGCTTTGCAAATGTTTATCTATGATTTCTATAGCATTTTTCTTCTGCCTGGCCTCATTATGAGCAAAGAACTTATTTTTCTAATAGGTATTTTTACTGATTATTCTGTGTCAGTTTTTTACTGGGGTACAATGTACACTTTCAATCTGTATATTCAAGTCATCTTTCATTTTTGAAATGATTTCCTGATTTATATATTTTAATTTTGTCTCATGATTTTAATTTCTCATTTTGGGGGTTACCAATATGCATAGAATGACAATATTATATATATATGCATAGCCTTGATCTTTTTTTAAAAGGCCAAGTTTATTGATTTATAATTCACCCATTTTAACAACATTGTTCAACAGATTCCAACAGATTCTGTATAATTACCACTCACAATCAAGATACAGAATATTATGCACCACTCCAAAGTTCCCACATGCCTCCTTATATCCACAGAAGTTTGCTTGCTGAAAACATTTTTTGCATTAGTAATCATGTTTTCTAATCAGCCCATTCTTTGAGGCCAGTAGAGTTAACTGCTGAATTACTAACTGCATAAAAGTCTTATTCTTCATATTCATGAAATAAATACAAATTAAACAGCAGTAAATACCGCTTTTGTCTGCCTTGTGGATAAATGTTGAAATTATTACATTTATTCTGAAAGTAGTGAGGTTGACAATGCTATAATTGCTTGTGGAAATATATATTTATAAAATTCACATGGAGAGTAATAGATCTCCACTTTTAAAATAGCCAATTTATTAAATTATTCTAGTTTCAAAGAAAGTGTTGGAGATATGCATTGGCAATAGTGTATAAAGATATGCACTTTTTATACTGTTGAATATTCATTTTATAATAATTTTGAGTACCATAAAATACTATGACAAATATCTTTGTACATACTGGGCAAATTCCAGAAAGTTCTGTCTCTGCCACATTGTATTTTATAAAGTTTCTATAATCAACATTGTTTCTTTTATAATTAAATTTTAAAAATGCAGTCAAATCTGTGGATGGGATATAATAAATAGAATATTCTGAGACCTCAATGCAAAATCTTGATGCCAAAAGTAATTTTTAAATACAAGATTATTACAAAATTTATGCCAAATTTTTAGATAGTTTTATAACAAACAAGACAGAAGGGAAAATTAAAGGTCTTACAATACCATTCATTTATAATAGGAACCATTTTTAGAGAAAGCATCTTGGGAAAGAAGACCAAGCTAATTACAATTTCTTTTCTTTTTTTTTCTTTTTTTCTTTTTGGCCAGCTTAATTTTTTTTTCTTCAAGTTTAATTTTAAGTTCATAGGTACATGTGCAGGATGCGCAGGTTTGTTACATAGGTAAACGTGTGCCATGGTGGTTTGCTGCAAAGACCATCCCATCACCTATGTATTAAGCCTAGCTTCCGTTAGCTATTCTTCCTGATGCTCTCTCTTTTTCTCCAAACCCTGACTTACAGGCCCCAGTATGTGTTGTACCCTACTATGTGTCTATGTGTTCTCATCATTCAGCTCCCACTTATAAGTGAGAACATGCAGTGTTTGGTTTTCTCTTCCTGCATTAGTTTGCTGAGCATAATGGCTTCCAACTCCATCTATGTCCCTGCAAAGGACATGATCTTGTTCCTTTTTTATGGCCGTGTAGTATTCCATAGTGTATAAGTACCGTATTTTCTTTATCTAGTTTACCATTGATAGGCATTTAGGTTGGTTCCATGTCTTTGCTATTGTGAATAGTGCCACAATGAACATATGCATGCATGTATCTTTATAATACAATAATTTATATTCTTTTGGGTATATACCCAGTAATGACATTGCTGGGTCAAATGGTATTTCTGCCTCTAGATCTTTGAGGAATCGCTACACTGTCTTCCACATGGTTGAATTAATTTATACTCCAACCAACAGAGTAAAAGAGTTCCTTTTTCTCCACAACTTCGTCAGCATCTCTTTTCTTTTCTTTCTTTTTTTTTTCTTAATAACTGCCATTCTGATTGAAGTGAGATGGTATCTAATTGTGGTTTTGATTTGCATTTCTCTAATGATCAGTGGTGTTGAGCTTTTTTTCATGTTTGTTGGCCTCAAGTATGTCTTCTTTTGAGAAGTGTCCATTCATGTCCTTTGCCCACTTTTTAATGGGGCTGTGTGCTTTTTCTTGTACATTTGTTAAGTTCCTTGAGATTCTGATTATTAGATCTTTGTCAGATGGATGGATTGCAAAAATTTTCTCCCATTCTGTAGGTTATCTGTTCACTCTGAAGATAGTTTCTTTTGTTGAGCAGAAGCTCTTTAGTTTAATCAGAGCCCATTTGTCAATCTTTGCTTTTGTTGCAATTGCTTTTGGTGTTTTTGTCATTAAATCTTTGCCTGTGCCTATGTCCTAAATGCTATTGCCTGGATTTTCTTCTAGGATTTTTCTAGTTTGGGGTTTTATATTTGTTAATAATTTTTTTTTTTTTTTTTTTTTTTTTTTTTGAGACAGACTCTCACTTTGTCGCCCAGGCTGGAGTGCAGTGGCGTGATCTCTGCTCACTGCAAGCTCCACCTCTCGGGTTCACACCATTCTCCTGCCTCAACCTCCCGAGTAGCTGGGACTACGGGTGCCTGCCACCACGCCTGGCTAATTTTTTTTCTACTTTTTTAGTGGAGACGGGGTTTCACCATGTTAGCCAGGATGGTCTTAATCTCCTGACCTCGTGATCTGCCCACCTCGGCCTCCCGAAGTGCTGGGATTACAGGCGTGAGCCACTGTGCCCGGCATGTCAATAAGTTTTCAATCCAACTTAATTTTTGTATATGATGTAAGGAAGGGGTCCAGTTTCATTTTCTGTGTATGGCTAGCCAGTTCTTTCAGCACCTTTTATTAAATAGAGAATCTTTTCCCCATTGCTTGTTTTTGTCAGATTTGTTGAAGATCAGATGATTGTAGGTGTCAATCTTACTACCTCTGAGTTCTCTATTCTGTTCCATTGGTCTATGTGTCTGTTCTTGTACCAGTATCATGCCATTTTGGTTACTGTAGCCTTATAAAAAAGTCTGAAGTTGGGTAGTGTGATGCCTCCAGCTTTGTTCTTTTTGCTTAGGATTGTCTGGGCTGTTTGGGCTCTTGTTTGTTTCCATACAAATTTTAAAATAGTTTTTTCCTAATTCTGGGAATAATGTCAATGGTAGTTTAATGGAAATAGCATTGAATCTATAAATTACTTTGGGTACTATGGCCATTTTCACAATATTGATTCTTCTTATCAATGAGCATGGAATGGTTTTTTTATTTGCTTATGTCATCTCTGATATCCTTGAGCAGTGGTTTGTAGTTCTCCTTGGAAAGGTCCTTTGCTTCCTTTGTTAGCTATATTCCTAGGTATTTTATTCTTTTTGTAGCATTTGTGAATGGAGTTCATTCATGATTTGGCTCTTTACTTGCCTGTTGTTTGTATATAGGAATGCTAGCAATTTTTGCACATTGATTTTGTATTTTGAGACTTTGCTGAAGTTGCTTATCAGCTTAAGATGCTTTTGGGCTGAGATGATGGGGTTTTCTAGATATAGGAACATGTCATCTGCAAACAAAGATAATTTGACTTCATCTCTTCCTATTTGAATATCTTTTATTTTTTCTCTTGACTGATTACCTTGACCAGAACTTTCAATACTATGTTGAATAGGATTGGTGAGAGAGGGCATCCTTGTCTTGTGCTGCTTTTCAAGGGAAATGCTTCCAGCTTTTGCCCATTCAGTATGATATTGGCTGTGGGTTTTTAATACATGACTTTTATTATTTTGAGGAATGTTCCTTCAGTACCTAGTTTATTGAGAGTTTTTAACATGAAGGGATGTCAAATTTTATCAGAGGCCTCTTCTACAGCTTTTGAGATAATCATGTGGTTTTTGTCTCTAGTTCTGTTCATGTGATGAATTATGTTTATTGATTTGCATATGTTGAACCAACCTTGCATCCAGGAGATGAAGCCAACTTGATTCTGGTGGAAAAGCTTTTTGATGTGCTGCTGGATTCAATTTGCCAATATTTTATTGAGGATTTTTGCATTGATGTTCATCAAATATATTGGCCTGAAGTTTTCTTTTTTTGTTGTGTCTCTGCTAGGTTTTGGTATTGGGATGATGTTGGCCTCCTAGAATAAGTTAGGGAGGAGTCCCTCCTTTTCAGTGTTTTGAAATAGTTTCAGTAGAAATGGGACCAGCTCTTCTTCATTCCTCTGGTAGAATTCAGCTGTGAATCTGTCTGGTCCTGGGCTTTTTTTGGTTGGTAGGCTACTTATTACTGGCTCAATTTCAGAACTTGTTATTGGTCTATTCAGGGATTCAATTTCTTCCTGGTTCAATCTTGGGAGGGTGTATGCATCCCAGAATTTATCTGTTTCTTCTATTTTTTTTAGTTTATGTGCATACAATTCTTTAATAATTTTTGTGGTGGACATTTTTATTCTTTGCTGGCCAATTTATTGATAATAACCCTCAGAATTTAATTAATGCATATATAAACATAGGAGGCATATTAGATACAACACTTGGTTAGCATTGATTTACATAGACATCTGAATAAGTCAAAAATCTGTTATGATGGCAAGAGCACTGAGCTGAATCTCCTTGACACATGTGACCTGGTCATGCTGGAATTGTTTGAAATGTCTCTTCAGTTCCAGCCTAACTCTTCCCAGTGAAATTGTCTTTGTGACTTCTCAATTTCTTCCTTCTGGATGTTTATATCTAATAACATAGATGGTTGTTTACTTACTTCAGTTAAAATTATTTCAAAATATTTCAAAAGAGCAAGTATTTATTTTATTTCCAAGACAGATTATGGAGTAAATAATATTGGCTTTATTTCAATACATATATTATGTTCACAAAAAAATCCACCAGTGTTACATACAAAATTGCCCTAATATCTAAATTACAAATCCTTGAGAGTGGAGAATATATATTTTTTATTGTGATCATCCTTTGACTAGAATGTAGAGAATCAATAAATATTGGTTATGAATGAATATCACACTTACATTGTAGAAAATTAACATAATTAACAAAGGTGTCAAGAAAATCTTGTACCTTTAAATCTAACTTTCACACCATTTCAAGTCAACTTGCCATCATTAATAAACTCTTTACTTTTTCTTTGTCAACATTCTTGTTGATGCAGTAAACCTTGTTTGCTTCAAAGCCTCAATCAAGACTGACCTCCTTGATTAAATACTTTCTGAATTAGCTCATCCTTTGGAATGAGTTTCTGCTATATTATCAAGCCTTGGATTAATGTTGTTTGGGAATGTTATTGTGATGTATGTTTGTTGTTCCAACTACACTATGGACCTTCAAAGACTGAGGCAGAAATAGAGACATTAGAGAAACTGGAAGAGCAATTTATTTCCTGAGGCATACTCTCTAAAAGTAGCATTTTTTCAACCATTTTTTTTCCAAGTGGAGATGTTCAACTTATAGTTATTAACACATTATGAAAAGAAACATTACAATGGTGAAACACTAAAAGTCACCTTCAAGCTGTGCCTCTTTTTCTATGTTTTTGTTTCTCAGTGAGCAGATAGTACCAGCCATGGCCTGTCTGGATCTTTCCCTGAGTTTCTTCCGCAGATGTAAGAACTCTCCTGTCTTTCTGCCCCATTCAGAACATATAGTGAACACTTCTGTATTTCATAGGCAAGCATGTATTTATATGTTGTCATGTTGTCATGAAATGGACAGAGATGGCGTGTAAGATTTTCTGAGAATTATAATTTTGCTGTAAGACTTTAATAAAATCTCTGTTTTAAGGGTAAAACTTGAGGATTATGGCATAAATCCCAAATTAACAAAATGTTATTTAGGAAACTTCAACACATTGGGTGCACTGTCTATTTCTTTCTTTGGATCCCACTGGCTCCTATTAGCAAAAAATTATATATATAAATTATATATATATTTATAGTTATATAAAATTATATATTATATAAAGTTATTTGTATATAAATATATATGTATATAAATATTTAATATATAAATATATATTATGTGTATAAATATTTAATATATATTATGTATATAAATATTTAATATATAAATATATATATATATAGAGAGAGAGAGATAGACACTATATTGTCTTAAAGGTAACATATTTTTATTTTTAAGAATATTCAGGAAAGATTCAAGTTAACATTTCCTTTTGTAACCATTCCTTTATTCCTATGATCTGGGTAAATTTGCCTAGTCTATTTTTCTTTACCCTAGATTTAAAAAATTTAAACAAATCAGGAAATAACCTTGTTTTCTATTCTTCTTGTAAAAGCAGCACTTATTAAAATTTCATTCAGTGTTTGATCCCTTACTCCCCTAAAGCTTAGATAATGTCCAAAAAATCTACTGCAAGTCAATAGGACTGTTTCGATACATGCTTCATTATCGCAGCTTTTGCTGCATCCTTGATTGAAGGTCATGCTCTGCTAGATGCATGGCAACACCACCAGTCAAGTTCACATCAGATCTGCTTCTTGAGGTTTGCAGAATAGCCCAAAAAAAGTCATTCAACTTCTGAGGAACCACACTGGAATTTTGGCTGGCCGATAGGATTGGTGTTTTTATGTCTTAGCTGTAATTTTGGTAGGTTATTTAAACCATGCCATTAGATGGGTTCCTGAAATAAACTAGTCTGGATGGAAATAAATACTGGGGAATATTCACTTTAAAAGAGATGAGCGTTTTGACTCTCTGAAGTCTTACTGTGGTAGAAAATAACTCTTTTCATGCCACCAGAGGCAAAATTGCTGATTAATGGAGAAATGCAGTTAGCTAGAAAAAAAATCTTTACTGACACTATAAAAAACAGTATTTTATGCTGTATCTCTGAACAATACAACAAACTTTTCTTTAAATCATCTGCTTTAGTCTGGCATCTTAAAATGGAGATGTAATTATTTTCACAATCGATTAGTTTTTTACAGTTGCCATAAATGGTAAAAAGAAGAGTAAAAATAAATCCATAAAATTCCCTTCCCTGACAAATGGTTTATAAGTCATAAGAAAAACTGCACCTCTTCATATCCTTCAAATTAATTGTTTTATTGATAAAATAAGAACTGTTTAAAAATGCTTAATCAATGCAAATATGGCATAATTATTGTGTCTGGGAAGTTTTTTGTTTTAATTAGAAAAAAAGAATATTTTAAAAATGCACTTAACCTATTCATTGTATCTTGGGATATTTGTGAAAAGAAGTGCAGTGATCTAGAAAGTAGAAGGATGGTTACCAGAGGCTGAGAAGGGGGTGGGGGACAGGGAGTGGTGTGGAAGGATTAAAAAAATAGTTGAAAGAATGAATAATACCTAGTATTTGATAGCACAACAGAGGGACTATAGTCAAAGTAATTTAACTGTACATTTTA
The DNA here is from genome assembly GCF_000001405.40 of Homo sapiens. Classification (NCBI taxonomy): domain Eukaryota; kingdom Metazoa; phylum Chordata; class Mammalia; order Primates; family Hominidae; genus Homo; species Homo sapiens. The sequence continues at coordinate 91,682,374 of NC_000005.10, forward strand.
AAATAACTAAAGATTGTAACTCGATTGCTTGTAACACAAGGGATAAATGCTTGAGGGATAGATGCTCCATTTTCCTTGATGTAATCACTACACATTTCATGCCTGCATCAAAATATCTCACATACCCTGTAAAAATATACACCTACTATGTACCCACAAAAATTAAAAATTAAAAAAAGTAGTGCACTGACAGTTTATAGAGGGAGGAAATTGCTTTGAAAAATATCAAGATACTTTTTAAAACGGTTTTCTTCTTGATATTATTTCTCCATTTTCTGTTGCCCATTTTTGTTGCCAAATTCTATATCTGCTCCCTATTAAGAGAATTTACTCACTTCCATAAGCATGTGGTAAATTGATATTGTAACACCCAGAAAGAAGCTCTAAGCTTTTTAGGGGTTTTACATGTGTGACGGAAGAATACCCCAAAACAAAGACTCCTTGAAGGGCCGGCTGCATAATTTGTAGGCCCACTGAAAAACAAAAATGGAGTCCATTAAAAAATGAAGAATTTCAAGGTGGTAACAGGAGAGGATGAAATCAAGCATGGAGCCTTTCTAAGCGAGGGGTCATTTGTGGTTGCACAGGTCAAGGCCTATGAGGTTGGCCCTGGCTGCTTCTGGGAGCCTCTTAACTATTCTCTTCCCTGTTTTTAAAATTATTTAAATGAGGATCATCTGTTCTTTTATTTGTCATAGACTTTGAGCAGCTCTTTTCCTCTCTCTTTAATATTTTGGATCCTTATTTTTGCCTTTCTGTCAATTTTTGATTCATGCCCATGCTTTAAAATGCTCAGTGATATCCTTCTTGACAACTAGCTCCAAAACATCTTTCAATTTAACCACCTCCTTGATTTTCCTTCTCCTTCTCTTCCCTCCAATTCTAGCCTGCATGATCTGGTTCCAATACCCTGATTTATGCCCTTATCCAACACTCCTCATTGACCCAGGTTTGTTAAATGCTCTGTGGGCCCCTGGAATGAGTCAGTAACTCACATATCTTGAGACTAGATAGCGGTGTCTTGACCACTAGGATTCCATTACCTTTGTGTTCTTCTTCCTCTGCCGTCAGATTTTGGAAAGATCTAAAAACAAAGTATGCATTTGTTATTTTTGGATGTGGTTTGTTTTTAGATTTATGACCTCATTTCTACCTTTGTGAACAGGACTAGACAATAACTTAAAAGAGACTAAGGCCCTCTTTCATCATTACTGGAAACTCTTAATAAAACCTTAAGCCTTTTACTTCCTTTTTTTTTTTTTTTTAAACTCCTGGGTCCCATCTGGATCCTTCTAACTCTGAAGATCAACAGATAACCTTCAAGAAGGAGGAGGACAGCTTAACAGAAAGAAGAGGAAAAGGAAATTTTAAAAGGGTAACTTTGAAACTAGGGTACTTTTGAGAACAAATGGTTCAGGCTCTAGGGCACACAACCTAAACAAGCAAAGCCAGGGAACCAAAGAACATATGAAGATTTTTTTTTAAATACAAATCCTTCTAACAGATATGTCTTATCCTCCTGACATTAGTGCAAGAAACTGAGCCAAGGGTAGGAATGAAGTTATCATATCTCCTCCTGGACTATCTGTTTCTAATAATAGTTCTACAGTTCTAAAGCAGCTTCTTAATTTCTCTTAATCACCTAATAAGGTAACAGGGGAAGCAATAGTCACTTCTTATCATTGAGGAAACTGAGGCTCATGTGGCTTAGCTGATATTTCCAAGGTCACAAAGTAACATAAAAATTTAATGAGAACTCAGAATTCTCAAATGCCTAATAAGGAGTCTTGTCATATCTTCTTGCTAGTATCAAGATATTTGTCACTGTTGTCACTGTTTTTGCCAATTTCCATGTTATTTCTAGATTAACCATCACTTAGGTCTTCAACTTCCTTTACTGTTTTTCTTCTTTCCGTATTCATCATTCTTATGTATGACAATTCTTTAGTTTATGCCAGTGTAATTTTGTTGATAGACTGTTTTTTCAAGTATTTGAAGCTAGTTCTTTGATATGTATTATTTCAGTAATGAGGTAAGATAGCACGCTAAAAATTACTACAATTTTTAGCTTAACCAGTAACTTATAGTTTCCATATGTCACTGGGTGTCATTTATAATCTCTCAAAATTAGACTCAATAGTTATTTATCCTGAGCTATATCGTTAGTTTTAAATATCACCAGGCTTTTAGATGGAGATCTTAAGATTGTACAGTTGCTTAGTTACTGGCTTTTTTCATTGCTTCCCATTTAAGCCAATGACTAAATGAACAATTAGGACTTGGGTTGTGTGAGGAATGTGTTTTATTTGGCATGGACCCTAATGATCAGATAATGAACAGCTTCATTCCTATCAAGAGGATATTCTAAAGGATGGTTTCATTTCTTAATGCTGACCCTCACTCTGAGAAGCAGGCTGCTCTAATCATGATAGTTAATGACCAATAAGTGGCCATTTGTCACATTTTCATTCTTTATTCCAGGCCTCAGCCAACCTCTAACATAAAGGATTCAGACTATGATAAAATGCTTTAACAGGTAATGATGAGAGAGCTGATGAGAATTTTTAGGGCAGAGTTCATGCTCCATATGTTCTCTGTAGTAATCATATTGAAAAATAGTAGTTTGGTTCGAGGCACTACATAGTTTGATTTACTGGACATTTATTGACTACCCTATGTGTAACTCCTAACAGTAGAAAGAGAAATGAATATCAAAGCACAAATCTCTGCCTTTAAAAAGCTTATTCTGTAGTAGGAAGTCAGGTTCTTAATAAAAATTTAAATGAAATAGATTAAGACAAGTTTGATTACTAGACTCGTTCACAGAAAATTTTATAAATTCAGCGGAAATCTTAGGAGCCTCCAAAAATTATGAAGGTCTTTAAATGGTTTCTTTTGTACCCTGGGCTTGTATGTACTTGACATTGAATATAAATATAACCCAACATTTGAAAAGTTCACAGTTAAATTGTGGAAGTTCATTAACTACATGATTACAGCTGATTTGTTATGTTTAAACTTCCATAATCCATTTACAAGGTTTGTCCATTTAAAATTTATAAATTAGCAGTTTTCTCTGCTTCTATTATTCAGGTCATTGCACCTTAGATAAGCTAAGTGTTTAAGTGTTTCCTCTAAAGAAAGCAAACAAAATTTAAATATCTAGCATAGGAAGGTCGAACTACAGAAAGTAATCATTAGTGGTCTAAACAAGAGCTTCTATTATTATTAGACACTAATATTCTATAAATTTTTCTATAAATGATCTATAAATTAAATTACATATTATTAGAGAAAAACATTTTAAGAATGAAGTATTTTAAAATAAAATGTTATGATGTTACTTTCCATTTGGGTGGTATATGTCACATATTCTAGATTTATTCTCGTGAAATATCATTCAAATAAAGTTTAAAAAGAGAATAACCCTATTTCAATGCCTTTGTTATTATAATACTATATGCCAAGGGAATTTCTAATGACCTAAGTGTTATACATTACAATTTCTGTTTAGAATTAAAACATTTACTGAAAAAAGAGTTTACAAGGTTTCATTAATTCAGTTGTAACATATATGGTGATGAGGATGGAAAGATGAAATAGAAATTAGTGAAGCATAAATGAAAATCAAAATTACAGTGAAGAAACTCAAAATATCACTGGTCACCAAATATTAATCGTTTGCAAAGGATTTTGGTAATAAAAAGAGAGAAATAATAGTCTATAGCTTACAAAGACTTTTTGATTCTTTAAAGTATTTATTTATTTAGTGTCTACTCTGTGTGTCAAACACTGTGAGAGATAAAATATCACCTCCAAGAAGTATAAAATCCAGTAGCAGGACTCAAATTTCAACATAAATAATTGCAATGTTTGGTAGAACATAAAAGGTTCATAACTGAGTTACAGAAAAAATCATATGAATGTTGAAAGGTGGGGAATATTATTCACGACTGGTGAGGTGGGGAGTGAGTTGATTCAGCAAAGAGTCCACAGATCAAGTGGCATTATACTGGGATGGTGTTTTTTCAGGATGAAATAAGTCAAATGTTGAGGAATGAAGAGCACAGCAAAAGCCCTGCTTGACAGAGGCACTGAGGAAGTGAAGAAAAACAGGAATTGAAAAGTTTTGGAAAACATGGGGATGCTTGTGTATGGGAAAGCATTGAATGCTAGGTTAAAGGGCAGTCTCATTTAATTCTATTCAGCAAATATGTATGAAGCAATTTACTGCATGTGTTGTGCTAAGATCTGTGAATATAAAAACAATCAAGGCAACAATTTTTCAATCCTCAGGAATTCACTTTGTCGATGTAGATGTCACAGAAGTCAGGAGTTGAATAAGCTAGGTGAATTATTGGGTGCTTTTGGTCAGAGGAAATCTGGGTTGTAATTTGGAAGCAATAATTTAAAGGTGATGTGTAAAATAAACTGGAATGGAAAAGACTTGGGCAATATACCCTCAAATGTCAGCATTCACAATTTTATTTTATTCAGTTATGAAAAGGACATCTTTTAAAAGAAGAAAAGGAAACATACCAAATCATGTTTACAGGCTGGTGGGGAGAACAAATCTAAGTGGAGTGAGGCTTTTTTTTTTAATTCAGGAATCTCAAGTTAATGTTATAATTTCATTTAAGTGAAGGTAATTCTGACACAGAGTAGTCACTAGAAAGATTTATTTCTTTAATATGCACAACTGCATGCACTAATGAGGGCAGAGGCATGGCGCCAGATCCTGAAAACACCAGTGTTCCTGCCCTCTCAGGAGATTGTCTCAGCAGCTCGAGATCACAGCAAGAGAAAATAAGTGATACCAAGGATTTGGGTAAGAGGGGTGAGAGTGATGGAGGAGGGGGGAAAAGAGAGAGCTTATGCTAAAATTGAAGAATGAAATAAATCTATGTAAAATTAAAATTCATTCTTAACAGTTTCACAGTTAGGAAATATGACACACTTGAATGCCAAATGATTGCTCTAAAATTCTGCTGCTGAACTATTAAAATGATTTAACTTTTCTCCATATGGTAGGCAGAATTCTAGGATGTCCCATAAGATTCTTGCCCCTGATAAACAAGCTTTGTTTAATCTCTTCTCCTTCAGGGTGGATCAAACCTGTCAATATGAGGATGTCTGTCTTGTGAGTAAATTACATTATGTCGTAAAATGGACTTTTTTCAGATATAATTTTGATTCCTCTAGTCAGCTGACTTTGAGCCAATCAGAAGGGAGATTATCCTGGGTGAGCCTGACCTAATCAGGTGAACCTTTGAAAAAGGGTCCAGGAATAAGAAATACTCTTTGCTATTGGCTTTGAGGAAGCAAGCCACACTGAGTTATACAGCTGCAAAGAAAGAATATTCCAGTAACCACATTAGCCTGCAGGAGAATCTGGGGCCTCAGATGGGACACAGCTCTGGCTCACACTTTGAGCGCTGCCTTGTCAGATCCTGAGCAATGCACCCTGATAAGCAGAGTTCAGACTTCTGACCTACAGAAACTGTGGGAAAATAAACGACTGTTTTAAGTTGCTAAGTTTGTGGTAAATTGTTATACTGCAATAAAAAACGTATGCACTCTTTCTTGAATAAATATTCTGAGGGCAGGAAGATAAAAATATATATGAAAATGCTTTTATTAAAAAATGAATGAAAATTCATTGATTAGTCAACCTAAAAGTGTTTAGGCTGGTAGATGTTATTTCCCTACAACTGACTCTTATTCTTAAGAGTTAGGTGTGGTTTAAGATTGAGCAGGCCATCAAATGGCCATGGGCTACTGTGACAGAGAAAAAAAATGCCTCTTTTTATCTCACTTAATTATCATTTTAAAATTATCATTGATTTCCTGAGGAGAGGAAATGAGCTATTTTGGGCAGACTTGGACTTGGATTTGATCACAAAATGTATCATTTAACTGTCCTTTTTGAGGTATAACTCTATAACTTATGCTGTCCTTTTGTTTCTGTCTCTAAAGTATTTTCTTGGCATTGCACTGAAGAATGTGATGAAGAATGGAATCAAGCATTCATGTATCATATAGACAAAGAAATCATAGTCATTAGTTTGGGGCAAGTGTAGTATTTGTGGAGGAATGAGTTCCACTTGCTTTCTCTCAACTTTCTTTCTTGATTCCTGAAATAATAAAAATTGATTTTTGAAAAGAATGAGGAAATGAACAGAAACACTGTAATCAGAATAAAGCTCCAGAGTTATGCCAAAAACCAACTTGGCAACCTTAGGAATTAGTGGAAAAGAAAGTTGTTCTTTATCAGTAAAACAGCCTATGGAACAAGGGTATAGGAAGTGGTTCAATGTAACAGTAGAAAGGTTTATTTGTCTCAAAAACGTGTCATCAGGAGGATGTGTTTGAAAAGTGGTTCGCTTTATCCCTCGCTTCAGCAGGCTGGACGTGAAGACTAGTGCCTCATTTTATCTGTAAGGAGTGGAAAACAGAAGGGAACAGAATCACAGAAAATCTGCATTAGGGGCTGAGAAGAGAGAGAAGGACTCAAATGAGGAGGGCAGGGTAGTAAGAAGAAGGGAAAGAAACAAAGAGGGAGCAAGAAAGAAGAAATCTCCCAATGTCCTTCCTTAGTGACAGATTTTGTACCATTTACTGAAGAGGAAAGCTGAAGAACAGTTTGGCATTATTCTCTGGACTCTATTTGTGTATTTGATCTTAAAATTTTAGAACTTTTAATAATGGACTATGTTTTTAATTCTTTCAAACATTAAGAGTTTAAACAGATGTAAAGGTATACCTTTCTTTTAATTAGTATTCTAAAAGCCTCAAAAATGTGTAAGTCAACACATGGGATTTCAAACATTCTTATTATTAAACTACAGAAAATTTAGGTATACGTATATCTATAGATATTGAAGTATACTGCAGCATTTTCTAATAAATTCTGATAAATAGTGGATATTTTATCATATTTAACAAGGTCATAAGAGTTCAGTAATCGTCCTCTTTACACTGATACTTATCTGTTTACCCATCTCAGTTCATTTGTGTTGCTATAATAGAATATCTGAGATTGGGTAGTTCAAAAACAGAAATTTATTTTTATTTCAATAGGTTTTTGGGTAATAGGTGTTATTTGGTTACATGGATAAGTTCTTTAGTGGTGATTTCTGAGGTTTTGGTGCACCCATCACCCGAGCAGTGTACACTGTACACAGTTGTAGTCTTTTATCCCTTGTCACCCCCCACCCTTTCCCCAGAGTCCCCAGAGTCCAATATATCATTCTTATCTCTTTATGTCCTCATAGCTTACCTTCCACATATGAGTGAGAACATACAATTAAAAACATAAATTTATTTCTCATAGTTCTGGAGGTTAGGAGCCCAAGACAAGGGTGCCAACAGTTTTGTTATCTGGGGAAGGCTGCTCTGTGTTCCAAGATGATGTCTTGAACAGTGAGTCCTTTGGAGGGAAGGAAGGCTGTGTTCTTACATGGCAGAAGGTCAAAGGGCAAAAAGGCCTAACACTGCATGGAACTTTTTTAAAAGCTTTTTAATTCCATTCATGAGAGAGGAGCCCTCATGATGTAAGTAATCACTTCTTGAAGACCACACTTCTTAATATTTACATTGGCAGCATATAAAATTTAGAGGGAATGTATTCAAACCATAGCAATGTCCCACACTCAAATCATCCTAAAATTTCAAGGCCTATCCTCTGAGTTCAATATCTGGTCCATTTGTGGTAGACTACCCACCAGCACCATATAGGGGAAAGTGACACTAGACTTCTTTGGGACTATTAAAACTGAAGTTACCTTCTCATTTTCTCATAGGAGGGAGGAGAAAAATTCCCACCCTATCCTCACAGCTGCCTAAGTGAATAACCACTCAATCAAAAATGGAATCTGGAGTAAAGAAGTTGTGAAACAAGGCAAACAGAAACGCTTTGCACCAATCCCATGACCCAAAAGTGAGGGATTTTCTTCCTTCTCTTCTTCTGCAATGTTCCTTCATGAATAATATTTAGTTCAGTATTTTTCATCCTTATAGAAAACTAGTGTTCACAGGTAATTTTACTGGAATTATGGCAGGTTAGGGTGCAAAATATACACATATTATAGAGGTACACATTTTCATATTCATCAGCTTTACTCATTTTAAAGCTTTTGATTCTCTTCATTGCCCTTCCTGCTATAACTCGAAGTGGATCAGCCGTGAACTTTGGGTCATTCTAAATTTTATTGATTATCCCATTCTACCCAACCAAAAGGCAAAAGTATTTCTACCACATTACTTTGTCTTGAAGGTACAGAGTTCTTTCTCTTGGATAGCTATTGTTTTTACATCAAAAAGTATTCTCCTTTAAGTATCTGAATGCTAATGTGTGTATGTATTCTGTACAGACATGCCGATACAAATGGTTCAATACAGCAAGATCCATAATAACAAGGGTACTGAGTTCTATAGGAGACTGAAGATGAAGTAGTTCACTGAACTTGAAGGTAAAAGCCTATCCTAGGCCTCTGACCATAGAAAGTTCATCATAACTTCTTTGTCTGTGCTCTTAAAAATTTCTTCATCCCTTGTCTAAACTGGTTTTCTGTATCAACCCTTCCTCTAAAATCTTAATGAGTGACTTCTTATAAAAAAAAGTCAGTTCCACGTGTGTATTAGTCCATTCTCACACTGCTATAAAGAACTGAGACTGGGTAATTTATGAAGAAAAGAAGTTTAATCGACTCACAGTTCTACAGGCTGTACAGGAAGCATGACTCAGAGATCTCAAGAAACTTAAAATCACGGCAGAAGGGTGAAGGGGAAGCAAGCAGATATTCATATAGTGGCAGGAGTGAGTGAGAGAAGGAAGAAGTGCTACACACTTTCAAACAACCAGACCTTGTGAGAACTCACTGTTATGAGAACAGCAAGGAGGAAATCCACCCCCATGATTCAATCACCTCCCACCAGTTGCCCCCCATCTCCAAACACTGAGAATTACAATCTGACATGAGATTTGGGTGGGGACACAGAGCCAAACCATATCACTGGCTCCTCCCAAATCTCATATCTTTCTCACATTTCAAAAGACAGTCATGCCTTCTCAACAGTTCCCCCAAATCTTACCTGATTCCAGCATTAACTCAAAAGTCCAAATCCAAAGTCTCATCTGAGACAAAGCTAGTCCCTTCTGCCTATGAGCCTGTAAAATAAAAAGTTAGTTACTTCCAAGATACAGTGGGGGTACAGGCATTGGGTAAATACTCCTGTTCCAAATGGGAGAAGTTGGCCAAAACAAAGGGGCTTGGACCCTGTGGAAATCCAAAACCCAGCAGGTCAGTCCTTAAGTCTTAAATCTCTTTTGACTTCAGGTATTACATCCAGGCCTCACAGGGCCTTGGGCAGCTCTGCCCTTGTGGCTCTGCAGTGTACAGCCCCCATGGCTGCTTTCACGGGCTGGCATTGAGTGCCTGCGGCTTTTCCAGGTACATGATGCAAGCTAGCAGTGAATCTACCATCTCTGGGGTCTGGATAAATTGGCCCTCTTCTTACAGCTCCACTAGGCAGTGTCCCAGTGGGGACTCTGTGTGGGGCCCCAACACCAACATTTCCTCTCTGCACTGCACTAGTAGAGGTTCTTCATGATGCCTCTACCCCTGCAGCGTACTTCTTCCTGGACATCCAGGCATTTCTATACATCCTTTGAAATCTAGATGGAAACTCCCAAACCTCAACTCTTGCTTTCTGCATACCTGTAGGCCCAACACCACATGAAAGCCACCAAAGCTTGGGGCTTGCTCCCTCTGAAGCAATGTCCTGAGCTGTACCTTGGCCCCATTTAGCCATGGCTGGAACTGGAATGGCTGGGATGCAGGATGCCATGTCCCAAGGTTGCACACAGCAGCAGGGCCCTGGCCCTGGCATGTGAAACCATTTTTCCCTCCTAGGTCTCCAGGCCTGTGATGGAAGGGGCTGCCACTAGGGCCCTGAAGGCACTTTCCTCATTATCTTGGCTATTAACATTTGGCTCTACTTATGCAAGTTTCTGCAGCCTTGAATTCCTCTCCAGAAAATGGGTTTTTTCTTTTCTACTGAATGATCAGGCTGCACATTTTCCAAACTTGTATGCCTTACTTCCCTTTTAAATATAAGTTTTAGTTTCAGGTCATTTCTTTGTTTATGCAAATGAACATAGGCTTTTAGAAGTAGCAAGGCCATATCTTGAATGCTTTGCTCCTTAGAAATTTCTTCCAATTGACACCCTAAATCGTCTCTCTCAAGTTCAAATTTCCACACATCTCTAGAGCAGGGACACAGTGTCACCAGTCTCTTTGCTAAAGCAGAGCAGGAGTAATCCTACTTCAGTTCTTAATAAGTTCCTCAGCTCCATCTGAGACCACCTCAGCCTGAACTTCATTGTCCATATCACTATCAGCATTTTGGTTGCAGCAATTTAACAAGTCCTCAGGAAGTTTCAAACTTTCCCTCATCTACCTGTCTTCTGAGCCCTCCAAACTGTTCAAACCTCTGAGTTACCCCGTTCCAAAGCTGCTTCCACATTTTCAGGTATCTTTATAGCGATGCCCCACTTATTTGGTACAATTTTCTGTATTAGTTCATTTTCACACTGTTATAAAGGACTACCTGAGACTGGGTGAATTATGAAGAAAAGCGGTTTAATTGACTCACAGTTCTGCAGGCTTTACATGAAGCATTGCTGGGAGGCCTCAGGAAACTTACAATTATGGTGGAAGGGCAAAGAGAAAGCAAGCACGTCTTCACATGGCAGAGTGGGAGAGACAGAGAGAGTGAAGGGGGAAGTGCTACACACTTTCAAACAACCAGATATCATGAGAACAGCAAAGGGGAAATCTGCCTCCATGATCTAATCACCTCCCACAAGGTTCCTCCTCTAACAGTGGGGACTACAATTTGATATGAGATTTGGGTGGGGACACAGAGCCAAACTACATCACCATGCCTCAACTATCCCTCTACTCTCTGTCCCTAACCATTTGCTTCACCGTGTAAAAATACTGACTATTAGATCACAGACTTTCAGGAAATCACTATTTAGGCATATATTTCTAAGACATCCCCTCTTTACAGAGGAACACCAAATAGGGTACTGATGTGTTCTGACTGTGTCCCCACCCAAATCTTACCTTGAATTGTAGCTCCCATAATTCTCATGTGTCACAGGATGGACCCAGTGGGAGGTAATTGAATCATGGGGTGGGTCTTTCCATGTTGTTTTTGAGATGGTGAATAAATCTCATGAGATCTGATAGTTTTATATAGGGCAGTTCACCTACACAAGCTCACTTGCCTGCCACCATGTAAGGCATGACTTTGCTCCTCATTTGCCTTCAGCCATGATTGTGAGACCTCCCCAGCCATGTGGAACTGCGAGTCAATTAAACATCTTTCCTTTATAAAGTACCCAGTCTTAGGTATGTCTTTATTAGCAGCATGAGAACAGACGAATACAGGTACAAACACACCTGTAACTACTACTGTTTCATTATTCAGACTCCAGTCATATTTTTTATTTTATTAGAAATATTTTTGAAGGGGTAAAAGGATTTACCACATTATTGGTGAGACAATATTAATCTGGGATTTTGAACTGTGTCAGGGTTTCTTAAAGCTGATGTTCTTTTTTATAGTTCCATCAAGTTGGTTGAAGATGTGGAGTGAAAGATTATTAAAATATTCATAATCAAAGCTTGGAGAGATAATGGAAATATTTGAGGACAAAATTAAGATTTCAAGATGAATGATGGCTAGAAATAATCAAATGTAAGTATAATGAAAATATAAGTAAATACTGAACTTGAGTTCAAAAAGTCAGCTGTGGAAATACAGGTTAGGGCAACATCTGACATTATAGTGAGTGTTTAATATTAATCAATAAAGCAAAACAAGAAGCAGTAAAAGCTATAGTGTTACATTTTGGCCAACAATGTGATGTGGTTTCTAACATAGCTAATGCGCTCTTATCCTGTATAATCTTATTAAGAGAATAAAGCATTATATATAAATATAGGTGTAGTCATATAAATAATAGTCATTATTTAACTGAGTTGATATGAGTGTTAAGTGAAGCATAGGAGGCCACACATATAATAATTAAATTTGTTAGTATATGGCACTTAATAAATATTTTTTAATTAAACCCTTGTTTTAAAAATTGGAAATAACAATTGCAATATATAAAATAAATTAATGTCAGAGATATATGGAACTCCTAAAAAAGTAAGAATAATAATAGTAACAATAACAATATTACTGGTATACTTGTGTAGCAAATTACAGCTTACACTATATGTATTATCTATCTATCTATCTATGTATCTATCTATGTATCTATCTATGTATCTATCTATCTATCTATCTATCTATCTATCTATCTATCTATCTATCCATCTATATTAGTCTGTTTTCACATTGCTATAAAGAACTACCTGAGACAGTAATTTATAAAGAAAAGAGGTTAAATTTACTCACAGTTCCACAGGCTCTACAGGAGGCATGGCTGGGAAGCCTCAGAAAACTCAGGAAACTTAACAATCATGGCAGAAGGACGAAGGGGAAGCAAAGACATCTTCACATGGCAGAGTGGGAGAGAGAGAGTGAAGGCGGAAGTGCTACACACTTTCAAACAACCAGATCTCATGAGTACTCACTCACTATTATGAGAACAGCAAGGGGGATATTCACCCCCATGATCCGATCAACACCCACCAGATCCTTCCCTCGACATTGGGAATTACAATTCAACATGAGATTTGGGTGGTGACATAGAACCATACCATATCACTATCTATCTATTGATTTGCATACTTAATTTTAATCAGGTCCTCATAACCCCATAAGTAATATAGGAATTATTTCATTCTGTAAGTGTAAATGTAAACTCAGAGAGACAAAATGATTTATTTTGACTTCATGTCTAGTGGTCATCAAGGACCCAAATGTGTTTTTCTAGGAGCATTGTTCTGGATGAATCAAAGCAGCATCCAGATAAGAAGTGGACTGATTTGATATTCTGTGTTGAATGTATGTATGTTTTAGTGGGGAAGTATACTATACAATGTAAAATAATATGTTAGAGTATGTCATATTTATATAAATAATTTATATAAATAATACAGCATAATGTAATAAAGTTAGAGATTTGGTTAGACTTAATTTTATTTATTCTGAGAGGAATATTGAAAAGCTAAAATTAATCAAAACTAAGTATAGAAAGTATGCTAACATTCTAAAAACCATGTTCAAAGAAAAATTACCTATAATAAATAGATAAATGCTTTATTAAAGAGCAAGCTCTGATGGCATAGAGGCCATTTTTGTTTTATTCAAAAATGGTTCTTGCTACAGGGTAGAAGTTGAATAGTTATTTGCTTAATGAATTAATTTATGAATGAATGAATGTTTAGACATATGTCTGTCAGTATTTATTTGAAGAAAGACATTTGATTTATTTCAAAAGGCAATAGTAGAAATCAGAACTGGATGTTACATTGAGACAAATTTAGCTATATTAATATGAGGAAAAAATGTCCCATGGTAAGTGGTTTTTTGAGGCTTCTTGAGTATTTGGGATTATTCTACTGCAAGAAGCATCTTTTGCCATGCAAAAGCTCTAATTTAGTCCCAGCTATTTATCTTTGTTTTTATTGCATTTGCTTTTGGGTTCTTGGTCATGAATTCCTTGCCTAAGCCACTACCTAGGAGGGCTTATCCAATGTTATCTTCTAGAATTTTTATAGTTTCAGGTTTTAAATTTAAGTCCTTCTTCCATCTTGAGTTGATTTTTGTATTAGGTGAGAGACGAGGATCGAGTTTCACTCTCCTACATGTGGCTTGCCAGTTATCCCAGCACCATTTGTTGAACAGGGTGTCCTTTCCCCACTTTATGTTTTTTTTTTGCTTTGTTGAGGATAAGTTGGCTGTAATTATTTGGGTTTATTTCTGGGTTCTCTATTCTGTTCCATTGGTCTATGTGCCTGTTTTATACCAGTAGCATGCTGTTTTGGTGACTATGGCCTTATAATATAGTTTGAAATAAGGTGATGTGATGCCACCAGATTTGTTCTTTTTGCTTAGTCTTCCATTGGCTATGAGGGCTCTTTTTTGGGTGCATATGAATTTTAGGATTGTTTTTTCTAGTTCTGTGAAGAATGATGGTGGTATTTTGATGGGAATTGCATTGAATTTGTAGATTGCTTTTGGCAATATGCTCATTTTCACAATATTGATTTTACCCATCCATGAGCATGAGATGTGTTTCCATTTGTTTGTGTTGTCTGTGATTTCTTGTAGCAGTGTTTTGTAGTTTTCCTTGTAGAGGTGTTTCACCTCTTTGGTTAGGTATATTCCTAAGTTGTGTTTTTTCAGCTATTGTAAAATGGGTTGGGTTGTTGACTTGATTCTCAGCTTGGTCACTGGTGGTGTATAGAAGAGCTACTAATTTGCATACATTAATTTTGTATCCAGAAACTTTGTTGTATTCTACAGTCAGCAGAGTGAACAGACAGCCCACAGAGTGGGAGAAAATCTTCATAATCTATATATCTGACAAAGGACTAATATCCAGAATCTACACAAACTCAAACAAATTAGCAAGAAAAAACAAACAACCCCATCAAAAAGTGTGCTAAGGACATGAATACACAATTCTCAAAAGAAGATATACAAATGGCCAACAAACATATAAAGAAATGCATCATCACGAGTGATCAGGGAAATGCAAATGAAAACCACAATGTAATCCAACCTTACAGCTGCAAGAATAGCCATCATCAAAAAATACAAAAATAGCAGATGTTGGCATGGATGCGGTGAACAGGGAACACTTCTACACTGCTGGTGGGAATGTAAACTAGTACAACCACTATGGAAAACAGTGTGGAAAGCCCTTAAAGAGCTAAAATTAGAACTACCATTTGATCCTGCAATCCCACTACTGGCTATCTACGCAGAGGAAAAGTCATTATACGAAAAAGGTACTTGCACATTCCTGTTTATAGTAGCACGATTCACAGTTGCAAAAACGTGGAACCAACCCAAATGCCCATCAATCAACGAATGGATAAAGAAACTGTGGTATACATATGTAATGGAATACTACTCAGCCATAAAAAGAATGCATTAATGGCATTCACAGTGACCTGGATGAGACTGGAGAGTATTATTCTAAGTGAAGTAACTCAGGAATGGAAAAGCAAACATTGTATTTTCTCACTCATAAGTGGGAGCTAAGCTATAAGGATGCAAAAGCATGAGAATGACACAATGGACTTTGAGGATCGGGGGAAAAGGCGGGAAGGATGTGAGGGACAAAAGGCTACAAATTGGATGCAATGTATACTGCTTGGGTGGTGGGTGCACCAAAATTTCACAAATCACCACTAAAGAATTTACTTATGTAACCAACCACCACCTGTTCCCCTATAACCTATGGAAATAAAAATAAAAATAAATATTTTTTTAAAAAAGAAGAGTCTTGTATAAAGTTATGTATTTCAATTTAATTATCAAAAGCTGTTTAGCTAATAGCAGAATACTTTACAGGTAAAATATATGCCATAGACATCTGATATTATTCTGTGAAAAATTGGATGATTACCAATATTCTTAAAATAATTTCCATGACTTGAAGTGAAAACCTAAACAATGGATTCTGTTCTTGAGCTGAAATACAGTATATGCTACTTCAGGAATAGGGAAGAGTTGACTAGAATTAGAAATTAGTGAGCATAGGTAATTCTAAAAAATCTCTGGATTAAAAAATATCATATTATTTATTATGTAGGTATGATTTTTTTTTTAATGTCAAGTAAGCAAAAGGAAAAAAGATCCATACGAAGATGCAAGCTTCAGATTTGGATCAGAGAGTAACAGTAATGATGGATAACATGCATAGTAGACTCTGCTTTCTGGGAGAAAAAATGTTTTGATGACATACCAATAGTTGTTGAACTTCATTTTCACATTTTTCTTGTTTGTGGGTAAAACCCATTGAAGTCTTGAATATATCTGGAATTTGTGTATGGAATAATCTTAGTGGAGCCTAATTCCATCTTTCACAAAACTAAATTCAGCAAATAGCAACATGCCTTAGAAATTGAAGGGATAGTCAATTCCAAATGTGTTCCCTGGGTAGTCACCAAAAGGACACATTTTTTGGCCTGTTTTTTTTCTTTGATGATTGGTTCATTTCTTTAAATATATAGCAAACCAAACTGATTTTGTTTAGAGTTAATCTCATTATTCAAATCATTCATTGAGGACAAATCTGTACAATGCAAATTAAACAGTAATGTGAAACTTAAGATAAACAATACTTACACTGACAGATATATACATTTTTAAATTTTTGAACAATCTAAAAAATGTAATTATTGAATAGCAATAATTTGTGTGTAAAACATGCTGAGAGAGTTAATTTTATGAAGTAATAAAAACTTTTATTTTATTTTTATTTATTGTGGGAATGCTGATGTAATATTTTTTTGGCAGGGTAGAAAAGCTATAGACTTATTTTCCTGGAACATATTACAAAAACTTAGAAATAATTTTTTTGATCGAATGAGTGAAACTCAGGGTTCAAGGCAGTTTAAAGATTTGTGGTGGGTATATTTTATATAATAAATAAAATACCTGCCAAAAAGTATCATATTAAACATAAAATGGGACGAAAACACTTTTGAAAAAAGTCAAGTGAAAGCCTATAGTATTATAGTATATATTTCTCACTAGTATTTACTGAAACTAATGTATTACATAATCATTGCTTCAATATTTATGAGTAGTTGAAGGCTCAGCTTGCCACTGAATGGAGAAATTCTGAACTTTCTATTTAGCACATGTTTCAGAAAAAACACATATTTCCCTATTGCTTATTTTGATAGACAAAGAAAGGCTGTCCGAGGCTGTACAGAAGCAACAAAACAAAACTCATAGCTATAATTTCTAGAGAATTGTTGTGTCTTAAGAGAAGAAACAAATAAATGACCCCCTTTCTGGCTAGTTGTATGATAGCATGGTAATCTTTTCACTAGTTTTTCCATCTAAAGAATGGATATATCACAAATATCATCTTTCTATGCATAGATGAAAATAATTTATAGGATATTTTAGAGTGCTCTGTAAGCACATGATGTTCTACAAATGCTCAATAATTAAGAGAATGGCTCATTTTAAAATATAAATCAAGTATGCTAGGGGAGGAAGAATTCCAGGAAAGAAACCAGGCAAAATGCCACCACATCAGAGTTCTTGGCAGGTGTTTCAGCAGCAGCAAGGCATGGTACTTTCTTTATTATATCTTCTACGAGGTATGATGGGCTTCATCCATCGGACATGAAGCAGACTCCAGATTACTCTTTAGAGGTCTCAGACCTTGCCCAACGACAAGATCTCTGACTGAAAAGAAGTATTACACATCTAATCAGTGTAAGCTTTGCTGGAACTAGGGTGGTAGTTTTCACAAAGCTTTCAGGTTAGTAGGGAGGGCAGGCAGTTAAATACGTCTTAATGATACCTTGCAAAGAATGGACAGATGGTCAGGAAAGCCATTTTAGCTCATCCTGGTTGGAGGTGGGGTTTATCACGGTATTAGTCTATTTTCACACTGCTGATAAAGACATACCCAAGACTGGACAACTTACAAAAGAAAGAGGTTTAATGGGACTTACAGTTCCATGTGGCTGGGGAAGATTCACAATCATGGCAGAAGGCAAGGAGGAGCAAGTCACATCTTACAAGAATGGCAGCAAGCAAAAAGAGATCGTGGAGGAAAACTGCCCCTTACAATAAACATCAGATCTTGTGAAACTTACTATCATGAGAATAGCAAGGGAAAGACCTGCCCCTATGATTCAATTACCTCCCACATGGTCCCTCCCACAACATGTGGGAATTCAAGATGAGATTTGGGTAGGGACATAGCCAAACCATATAATTCTGCACATGGCCTCTTCCAAATCTCATGTTCTCACATTTCAAAACAAATCATGCCTTCCCAAGAGTCCCCCAAAGTCTTAACTCATTTCAGTATTAACTCAAAAGTCCACAGTCCAAAGTCTCATTGAGACAAGGCAAGTCTTTTCTGCCTATGAGCCTGTAAATTAAAAAAAAAAAAGAGCTAATTACTTCCTAGATACAAAGAGGGTATAGGTATTGAGTAAACACAGCTGTTCCAAATGGGAGAAACTGGCCAAAATAAAGGGGCAACAGGCCCCATGCAAGTCCAAAATCCAGTGAGGCAGTCAAATCTTAAAGCTCCAAAATGATCTCCTTTGACTCCATGTCTCACACTGATGCAAGAGGTGGATTCCCATGGTCTTGGGCAGCTCCACCCCTGTGGCTTTGCAGGGTATAGCCTCCCTCTTGGATGCTTTAACAGGCTCACATTGTCTGTGGCTTTTCCAGGCACATGTTACAAGCTCACAGTGGATCTACCATTGACCTGTCGGAGGTCTGGAGGATGGTGGCCCTCTCCTCACAGCTCCACTAGGTGCTGCCCCAGTAGGGACTCTGTCTGTGGGCTCCAACCCCACATTTCCCTTCTGCACTTCCCTAGCAGAAGTTCTCCATGACGGCCCTGGTCCTGCAGGAAACTTTTGCCTGGGCATCCAGATGTTTCTATACATCTTCTGAAATCTAGGTGGAGGTTCCCAAACCTCAGTTCTTGACTTATGTGCACCCACAGGCTCAGCACCATGTGGAAGCTGCCAAGGCTTGGGGCTCCCATCCTCTGAAGCAACAGCCCAAGTTGTACCTTGACCCCTTTTAGTCACGGCTGGAGTGGCTTGGGCACAGGCACCAAGTCCCTGGACTGCATACAGCAAGGGAACTCTGGGCCCAGCCCAGGAAACCATTTTCTCCTAGACCTCTGGGCCTGTGATGGGAGGGGCTGCCATGAAGACCTCTGACATGCCCTGGAGACATTCTCCCCATTGTCTTGGGGAATAACATTTGGCTCCTTGTTACTTATGCAAACTTCTGCAGCCAGCTTGAATTTCTTCTGAGAAAATAGGTTTTTCTTTTCTATCACATTGTTAGGCTGCAAATTTTCTGAACTTTCATGCTCTGATTCCCTTATAAAACCGAATGCCTTTAACAGCACCCAAGTCACATATTGAATGCTTTGCTGCTAAGAAATTTCTTCCACCAGATACCCTAAATCATCTCTCTCAAGTTCAAAGTTCCACAAATCTCTAGGATAGGGGCAAAATGCCACCAGTCTGTTTGCTAAACCATAACAAGAGTCACCTTTGTTCCCGTTCCCAACAAGTTCCTTATCTGCATCTGAGACTACCTCAGCCTGGACTGTTATTGTCCATATCACTATCACGCTTTTGGTCAAAGCCATTCAACAAGTCTCTAGGAAGTTCCAAGCTTCCTCACATTTTCCTGTCCTCTTATGAGCCCTCCAAACTGTCTCAACCTCTGCTGTTATCCAGTTCTAAAGTCACTTCCACATTTTTGGGTATCTTTTCAGCAGCCTCCACTCTACTGGTACCAACTTGCTGTATTAATTCATTTTCATGCTGCTGATGAAGACATACCCAAGACTGGCAATTTACATAAGAAAGAGGTTTAATTGGACTTACAGTTCCACGTGGCTGGGGAAGTCTCACAATCATGGTGGGAGGCAAAGAGGAGCAAGTTACATCTTACATAGATGACAGCAAGCCAAAACTGCTTGTGCAGGAAAACTCCCAATTATAATAACCATCAGATCTCATGAGTCTTACTCACTATCATGATAACAGCATGGGAAAGACCTGCCCCCATGATTCAATTTCCTCCCACCAGGTTCCTCCCACAACATGTGGGAATTCAAGATGAGATTTAGGTGGGGACACAGCCAAACTATATCAGTCAGAAATACCTTTCCAGGGAAATGCTTTATGCCTAGCTCTTGGCTACTGGGTTTAAGTTAGTGCTAGGAAAGGGTCATAATCCCCAAAGAGGTAATATGTGTCCAAAAAATTCCTAATAGGATTATTTCAGAATTTTCATTTATTCTACTTATATCATTTGCTGACTTCTCCATCTAATCTATATTTTATCATGTGTCATTCATCCTTCCTTGCCTCTTAAATTTCAAAGTTGCCTCATTGCCTAATAAACTCCTGAATTTAGCTTCCAAGGTTCTCCACAATCTCATACCAACTCATAAATCTTAAAATTCAATAAAAGGAAAGCACACCTAGACATTGTAGTTTTTTAGCTTTTGTGTATATGAGTTTTGGTCTTCACCTATCTTTGCCAATAAAAATAATTTAAGACATAACTAAAATCCCATTTTCTTCAATAAGTTGTCTGATTCCACTCCTTGGGAAAAGCACTTACTTTCAAGAACTAAGAGGTTTTTTGTTTGTTTGTTTATAATGTTAATTTGGCCCTTACCTTGAATATATTTCCTGAGAAGGTTTCACTGACAGAATATATTTAATGTATAAAATTATTTAAAGAAAATAAGACTGCTTGAAAAATAAGTGAAAAAGTTATTTCATGTGCCACAATTACATTTTGAGCTCATTAGTGTTGATGGTACAAAATTCAAACATATACTTTAACTCTGCTCTGTCTCAAAAATTAACTAACTCATTTTGAAGAATATAATGTACCTATTTAATAGTATGGAAGTTTTATAACAGTTCTGTTTCAAAAAAGATAAAAGTTATGCTTTATGAAACTATATTTTTCTGTACATTTATTTTTGGCTCCCCAATTAAATTTTAATAAGCCCTGTGAAATAAGGACCTTTCTTCTTACTTCTCTTTCTTCCTCCTCTTTTTCCTTAGCTTTTTCCCTTTTCCTTCCTTCTTTCCTTTTCCTTCCTTCCTTCCTTCCTTCCTTCCTTCCTTCCTTCCTTCCTTCCTCCCTTCCTTCCTTCCTTCCTTCCTTCCTCCCTTCCCATGTTTATTCAGTAAATATGTTTAAACTACAGATTCATTTAGGGAGCATTTGGATGCCAGAAAGAGGCTGGTTTAAATTAAGGAGTCTAAGGAAAAGAACTACGAGGGCATGTCACGGAACCCAAGGGGAGGAAATACATCTAGATTTCAAGAGGTGCTAGAATTAGAAACTGGAAAATAGTTACTAGTATTAGTCCATTTTCATGCTGCTGATAAAGACATACCTGAAACTGGGCAATTTACTAAAGAAAGAGGTTTAATGGACTCACAATTCCACATGGCTAGGGAGCCCTCACAATCATGGTGGAACGTGAAAGGCACTTCTTACATGGCAGCGGAAAGAGAGAGAATGACAGCCAAGCGAAACAGATTTCCCCTATGAAACCATCAGATCTTGTGAGACTTATTTACTACCATGAGTACAGTATGGGAGAAACTGTCCCCATGATTCAGCTTCCTCCCACCAGGTCCCTCCGACAACACTTGGGAATTATGGGAGTACAATTCAAGTGAGATTTAGGTAGGGACACGAAGCCAAAGACATCATTACTAAAATAGCTATTTGATCTCTTTTTTTCTCTTGAGGGAACATAATTCTCTTACATCTGGTGTTCTCTTTGTGTTTCCTCTGTTGTTTTCATTTTCCCTGTAAACCTGTCTTAACTAGCTTTTCAGCATACATGACTCAAACAGGACAGCTACCCCATTCTCTGAGAAACATGACTTTCCTGATTCAGGACCACCACCAAATAAATGACTCCTAGGCTTTGTATCTCACAATTCAAATTCCACAAAGAAAGAATCTAATCTGCTCAGCCCATGGTTCAGGTCCAAACAAGGGAAGTGAAGGATCATGGTTGTACAAACCTGGCAAGTGAAGCTGCCTCTTCTTGCTAGAATCATTGCCACAGGAGGATAGGCCATCAAATAAGAGAATGGCCCAAACATGCCTGTTACATTTATTATGTATCAAGCACCATAATAGATATTATGAATGGCAAAGGATGCTATTTAGGAAGACAAAACTCAAACTAGAATTAACGAATGAGATTCGAAAAGAAATAATGAGCATAAAAATTGATAAATTCACCAATAAATTTAAAGTTTGATTGAGACATTAAACAAAAATATGTAATTTGAGGAAAACAAAAGTAACACGAAATATATTTCTTTTATATTATTATTCTTAAGATAATATTGGAGAGTCTAAAGTGATTTGATGAATTTGATTATGAATAAAAATATGTACATTACCTAGCACATGTATGTAACTATAATAAATGATTTCTTTGGGAAATTTAAAGACCATTGTGAGGAAAAGATAAGTGATCAGAAAATTACAGTGCATTATACCAAGTTATGTGTAAGGGCAGGTTGTTTATGAGACAATTTGTGAAGCAGCTATCTCCAACATTAGAGTCTGGGAAAGCTTTCTGAAGAGTGTTCCATGTAAGTTGAGACTTGAAGAATGTGTAGAAATTAATCAGAGAAGAGGCAGGGAAAGGACTTCCAGGCAAAGGAACTGCATGTGTAAAAATCCCAGAGATTAGAGGGCCCATGACTGGCTTAGAAAACTTGAAGTTCACTAAATCTGAAACACTGAGTGTGGAGAAGTAACAAGTAATATACAGAAAAGGGAAAGAGAAGCGGATCAGGCAGAGCCTTGTAAGACATATTAAAGTTAATATTGAAAACTATGTGGATTCTTATTGCATTTTAATTAGGGGATGACATGGTTAGATTGCCTTTTCTGAAGAGCACTTGGTACAGTCGCTTTGTCGCCCAGGCTGGAGTGCAGTGGGGTGATTTCAGCTCATTGTAGCCCCTGCCGCCCAGGTTCAAACAATTCTCCTGCCTCAGCCTACCAGGTAGGGGGGATTACAGGTTTGTGCCACCATGCCACACTAATTTTTGTATTTTTTGTAGAGACGGGTTTTGCCATGTTGCCCAGGCTGGTCTGAAGAAGTGAGTCTTGAGTCTTGAGAGTATTGCAGTAATTCTGGTGTGATATGATTGGAGTTTATAAAAAAAGTGAGAATAGGGAAAGGAAGATGGAGTCAAGAGTATTTTGGAAGTAGAATTTATAGAGATTGCTGTTTATAGGTAGTAAAGCATGTAACATAGTCAAGTATGACTCTCAGGTTTCCATCTCAGACTACTGTCTGGACTGTGGTATTATTCACCGATGCAGACACAGAAAGAAGAAAAGCAGGCTTGTGGGTGGGAAGAGGAAGACAATAATTTCAGTACTGAATAGATAATGTTTAAATAACCAGAAAAGCATCCAGATAGGTGTCTCCTTATTTCTTGGCAAGTCATTGTTACCAACATTTAGTAGCAATTTCTCATTTTGAAGAAATAGTTCAGTGTTGATAAAGAAACATTAAATACCTTTTAACATTCTAATTTTAGTTAAACCACATACCATTCTTCAATTGATTTTTTCTAAAACCTATTTCTGATTATACTATCACAAGTTCGAGATTTTAAATATTTAATACGGATTGTTGCCAAGTGGAAATTATTTATTCTACTACTATTTTGTTGTACATAGAGGACACTCAGGTTTTTTTTTTAGCAGGTCATATTTGTTATGTAATTAAATTCATTTAATAAATATCTGCAATTTGCGACACACTGTTGAGATACAAAAGCAACTCAGACATGGCAATGATCTTCAATAGGTTTTGAATCTGTAAAACATTCACTTGAACTTTATGTAGCTCTGTAACAAAAGAGGGGAAGTAGGAATAATCGAAAGAAAGAGTGACGAGGTTTTGACTGCTTTGAAAAGAACCGAGATTCAGTACATCCTCAGAAATTTGGAAATGTTAGGGAATACATAAAGGAATAAAGATTAACCATGTGGACATTGAGAAGATACTAAAAATGTGAAAAAAATATAGATTCTCATTTATCTAGTGATGAAAAGGTTATTCATTACTTTTCTGAGGGCAATTTCAGGTGAACAGTGAGGACCTAAGTCAATCATAAGAGTATGGAGAGAACAACCATAGTCTACATTCAATTGGATTTTATATAAATGGGTAAAGTTGATGGATAAAAGCTGGAACTAACACTATGATTCAGATCACAGTGTATGTGTGTGAGAGAACATCCATATGTATGTATGTATATATGTATATGTGTATTTATATATTTGTAAGTGTTTATGAAGAATTGAGATAACTGTAGTCTCTAGAGATACTATTGTGGCAAGGTCTATCAATTTTCAAAAGGTGTTTAGTCATATATACAAATAATAAATAAATATTATCTGCATGTGATAAGACAAGGGGTAATGAAAAATAAATTGCTGCATGGTTAAGTTAAACTAGAGGAGAAGAAAGGCAGAGTGAATTGATTATTGATGATGTTCTATTTTTCTTGTGAAGAAGCTTTCAAGAATCTGATGAGGGATTGGAGTCAAGCAAAAGACTGAGAATACCGTGACAAGCAGAAAATTTGAGTTTTTGATAATCCCATATCTGGAAACACAACACAATAGAGCTCAGGGCTGCCAAAGCAATCAGGACTTGAGAGAGCATGATCCTGGATAAATGGCAAGTACAAAAAAATGTCCAGTGCTCATTAATCTTCTCTCTTGAGGTAATTGATGAATTCTTAAATTCCTCAAGCTAAGAGGTAAGCATAAAGATTCTAAAAAGCAGAGGGAAGTTTTTGGAAACTTCAAAATGCTGAGAAGACAAAAAATTATATAGATTAGGAATTGCCAAGGAAGAAGGGCCTTACTAAATGACCCATGCTTTTGGACCTGAAGGGTTATGTCCTAGTTGCAATATTATAAGCAACGTGGAGCCCTTATGGCATTTTAATTAGGGGATGACATGATTAGATTTGCCTTGTCTAAAGAGTATTCTGCACAGTGAGGCAAATTGGAAGAAGCAAGTCTTGAGTCTTGAAAGTATTGCAATAATTCTGGCATGATGTGATTAGAGCTTATAAAAAAAAGTTGGCAGTGGGACTGGTGAAAGGAATTTGAATGAATCAAAAGTAGAGAATCAACCTTAAAAAAACTGCAACCTAACCTTGGGTCAGCATAGCTCCTGACTGATCTAAAAAGAAAACAGATACCCATATAAAAGGAATAAAAAGTTATAGACCTGAAATATAAAACAACTGAATTTAATAACTCAATTTTTGTGTTTAACATAAAATGAACATGTCACAAAAGATGGCTAGTGTCAGCTGAAATGTCAGTTGTTGTTATCCAGGATGAAGAACAGAGGGGAAAATTACTGAAAAACCAGGAAACAGGAAGAAACAACAGGACATGGTTGGAATATCTAACATATATTTAACTGGAGTCCTGTAAGAAGAGAACAGGATGTGGCAGATGAAATATTTAAAGATATAAAAACAGATGCTAAGCCCATCACACTAAAACACATTGAAAGGCAAAGACAAGGAAGAACACTCTTGATAGCAGACCGAAAGAAAAAACACATAAACTTCACAGGAGCAAAACTAAGAATTGCTTTTTTATTTTTAGAGATAGGGTCTTTCTCTGTGGCCCAGTGGCATGATATAGCTGACTGCAGCATCAAATTTCTGGGCTCAAGGGATCCTCTCTCCTTGGCCTCCCAACTAGCTAGGAATACAGGTGCATGCCACCATGCTTGGCTAATTTAAAATAATTTTTTTTGTACACAGGGGTCTTGCTATGTTGTCCAGGCTGGTCTTGAACTCCTGGCCTCAAGTGATCATCCTGCCTTGGCTTCCCAAAGTCAAGTATTACAGGCATGAGCCACCATCCCCGGCCAGGACTTCCTTTTCAGCAGAAGTGAAGAAAACCAGAAAACAATGGAAATACATCTTTTAAGTGTTGAAAGAAGACAACTAACTACTTGAAATTTTATAAATGAGTGCAACTATCCTTCAAAGATGAAGATGCAATGAAATATTTCCTGACAAAAAAGAGAGAATTATTTAACACCAATTAAATCATACATATTAAAAATACTCAGTTGCATTCCTCAGGTTACAGAAAATCCATAAACCTTAGGATAAAAAACTAATATTTTTCAGGTTTTAGGGAACTTCTGCATCGTAATTATTGTATATATAGTTCATGATACATTAGTATAATCAGCAAATTGTAAAGATGTCAATCCAGTAATAATTGTAAACACTTTTTTTAGAAGAGAATATTTTCTTTTGGATTTCTTTTGGGCCATTTTATTAGTTGATTGTTTGTGTGTTATTTCCCTTTCTCACAAAATATATCAATCTAATGCAAGCCAATAGTGCGGGTAGAAAAATCTTTATTATTATTATTTTTTAAATCATAATTTGTTTTTGCCTTATGTTTAGCAGTTAAATACAAAGTCTATAACATCTAACAAGATGTAGTATGTGTCATACAGTATTACTATGGTCTGAGTCTTTGTGTCATCCCAAAATTCATATACTGAGATCCTAATGCCTAAGGTATGGTATTGAGGTGAGACCTTGGGAGGTGAATCCCTCATACTGCCCTCATAAAAGAGGCCCAGGGGATCTCGTTTGCTCCTTGTACTATATAATGACTCAGTGAGACGATGCCTTCCATGAACCAGAAAATGGACTCTTACCAGACACCAAATCTGCTGGTGCCTTAATCTTGAATTTCCTAGTCTTCAGAACTGTGTTAAATAAATTTCTCTTATTTTTACACCACCCCATGCATAATACTTTGTTATAGTAGCTCAAACTGACTAACCCATGCATGTACAAGAATAATTTTTCCTCCTGCTTTTTAAATAATTTTTCCTACTTTTTTAGTCAACCCTTCTTTAAAAACAAAGTAAACAAGCTTAGCTTACTTTTCTTAAAATTTACATTTAAAAATTTTTTATCAATTTTTATAAATTTAAAACGTAGTTTTACACTATACAGTTTATAAACATATGCTATGTACATGCAATTTTATTTGTGTATACACAATTATATATATAATTATATACACATATACAATAGCTTAAAATCAATTAAGAGAATAAGAAGAATAAATATGGATTTATACTGTCTTTTATAATTATATAATTACCTTTACTGGTGCACTTTGTTTTTTGCATGGATTTGAACCTCTACCCAGGGTTACTTGTTCTCAGTCTGAAGAACTTTCATTAGTATTTCTTATAAAGTGGTTCTACTAACAATGAATTCTCTCCGATTTTGTTTACCTGAATGTCTTTATTTCATCTTCAGTCTTAAGCTTTGAATGACAGTATTGCTGGATTTAAGATTTTTTTGTTTTTTTTGAGATAGAGTCTCGCTCTGTCACCCAGGCTGGAGTGCAATGGCACGATTTTGCCACATTGCAAACCTCTGCCTCTTGGGTTCAAGCGATTCTCCTGCTTCAGGCTCCCAAGTAGCTGGGACTACAGGTGTGTACCACCACACCCAGCTAATTTTTGTATTTTTAGTAGAGACAGGGTTTCACCATGTTGAGCAGGCTGGTTTTAAACTGCTGACCTCAGGTGATCCGCCCACCTCGGCCTCCCAAAGTGCTGGGATTACAGGCGTGAGTCACCGCACCAAGCCAGGATCTAAGATTCTTAGTGGAAATTTTATTTTTCTTTCAGCACTTGAATATATCATCCTATTGCCTTTTGGCCTTCATGTTTTTTGATTAGAAGTCAGCTGTTAATTTTATTGGGGTTCCCTTATATATGATGAATCATTGTTTTGCTTGCTGCTTTCAAATTTTCTATTTGGATTTTGTTGAGTTTCTTTTATGTGTAGATTAATGTTTTTCAGGCAATTTGAGAAATATTCAGCCATTATTTCTTCAAATATTTTTCTGCTCCCTTTTCTTTCTCTCTTCTCCTTCTGCTCTTCCCACTATGTGTGTGCTAGTGCTCCTTTAATGAGTCCTCCATTTCTCTGAGATTCTATTCATTTGTCTTTATTCTATTTTTCTCTATTCTTTAGACTGCATAGCTGTCAATACTAATATGTACGTACAATTTTGTTTCTTTTCATATCTCATACATTTTTGTTAAAACTTGGACATCTTAGGTAATGTAGCAACTGTAGACACTGATTTGCTTCCTTCTCTTTGGGGCTGGTTTCAATTCTTGTTTTCTTGTTTATTTGTTTTATTAATTCATTAGACTAATGTAGTAAAGTCTAGATCCCCCACAATGTGAAGCCTTTGGTGTTGCTACTCAGAAGGTGCAGTCTTGGGGTTTTGCACAAGCTAAGACAGTGGTTTTCATGGGTCTTTCTTCTACTGTTTTATTGCTTGCTCTATGTCTTTTTTTAAGGTGTCTGACTCATGTGGTATTATGCCCAGTACTCATTCTCCACTAATTACAGGCTGATTATTTCATTGTTTTTGATAATGTCCTGGAATATAAATTGCTTGGTAGTTTGATCCAATTAAATTCTGGCAGAGGTAGTTTTTGAGGCCAGTCTTTGAGCTTTGCTTTTCTTAGTTTTCCTTGTTTCTCCTGGTGAACTGGCTGGTCTACGATTAAGCTTATTGCTCTTAGTTAAGAGAATCTGTTGTTATCAACAGTACCCTTTAGCCTAACTTTCCTCATGCCATTTCAAATAAAATCAGTTCCTTTGGGGCACTCTATTTTTTTATGGACTGCTTTTTCCCCTGATAAAATTATCTAAGCCACTACTCTGGGCACTGGTGGAAGCCTCTGGTCTTCTTGACTTGTATTCCTTGCATGCAGCTTCTGCTCTACAAAGGAGGTGGGTGAGGGTGATCAGGTCCCCAGGATTTCTTGGTATGCAATTCTTAGGGTAGAGCTTCTGTCTTATGGGTTGGGGGCCTGGGAGGAGGAAGGGAGTCTTCATCCTCTTATCTGCCCTGAGCAACTCAACGTGCAGCTGACTGAGGTGAGAAATACTGTCTGCCTGGCCCTCCCAGTGCGATAGGATAATCTTTGATTAAGAACTGAGAGGAGATGGAGCTCTTTCTTCTTAGCCATACCTGCCCAGAGTGGGGTTTCATAGAAACTGATATGGGGCAAGTCAGATAGGGGGATATGGAGAAAGTGCATTGTGGCTAAAAAATGGGAACATATTTAAAATCTATAAAATTACAGTTTTATAGATTTTATTGGATAAATGTTTCTTGATTTGCCATAAGCTCGTAGGACAATTTCCTGATAATTTAAATACTTTTTAAAAATAGTTTTTGCCAACTTCACTTGTTTAGCTGGGGAGCAGTCTACAGCACTCCTCATGCTCCCATCCCAGGAGTGGAACTCCCAGAAGTACAGTTTTTGCAGGTATCATATAGCTGGGTCATGTCTTTTTATCCAATCTTATAATTTCCGCCTTTTGAATGGGCTTTTAATAGTATTTATATTTAACATGACTAGTGATATGATTGAGTTTTAATTTATTATATTTTTATTTATTTTCTATTTGTCCCATATGTTCTTTGTTTTTTCTTTCCTTGTTTTCTGTCTTATTTTGCATTAAGTATCTTCTCTGATTTATTTTATCCTCTTTTTGGCTTATTTCAGTAAACCAATATTTTATTTACTGACTATACTAAAATAATCACTCAACACAACAAACAGTTTTAGCACTATTGATTGTATATTTTAGTGATTGCTTTAATATTTATTGTGTTCATCTTTAGCTTATCATATTCTACCTCCAAGTAATATTGCAGTATTTTATGTATAGAAAATAAAACCTTAAAAGAATATACATTCATTTTTCCTCTCCTGGACTTTGTGCTATTGTTGTTATTCATTTTATATCTACATATGTTATTAAAACCCAAATGCATTGTTCCGATTTTTTATTTAAAGAGTCAATTCTTATCGAAGGGAAATTTAAATACTTGAAAAAGTCTTTATATATATCCAGTTACCATTTCTGTTGATGTCATTTTTTTATGTTGATTTAGATTTCAATTTCACATTTTCTTCTGTTTAAAGGACTTTTTAAAATATTTCTTACAGTGCAGATCTGTAATGAAGAGCTTTTTACAAATATTATATATCTGAAAAAGTCATTCTTTCACCTTCATCTTTGAAAGATATTTTGACTGGTTAAAAAAATTACAGGCCAAATTTCACCTCCTTTCCCTGCCCTGTACTTAAAGATGTTCCAGTGTCTTTTGTTTCTGACCAGAAATATGTTACAATCCTTATCTTTGTTTTTCTATATGTAGTGTGTCTTTTGCTATCGCTATTTTTAAGATTTTTCTCTTTATCACTGGTTTTAAGCAATTTGAAGATGATGAGTTTCAGTGTAGTTTTCTTTTCGTTTTTAATGTACTTGGGATTAGCTAAGCATTTTAGCCTAGTGCTTTATAAGTTTCATCACGTTTAGAAAAATTTCAGCCATTATTACTTTACTTATTTTTTCCACCCTTTAACTTTCTATGCATTGTTTGAGAGATTCCAGTTACATGCATATTTATCTCCTTGAAGTTGCAGCCTGGAAACTTTTTTCAGGCAATAAGTGAGGGGAATATAGAGCTTATCTCCACTTTTCATAATCTTTTACAATTCACTGTTCTTTTTGACCTGAATTCTGATGTCTTAAGTGCCATTACTTCATACATTTTGTCTATAATTTTGTCATTTCATATGGAGTAAATCCAGTCCCTGTTACATCATCTTTATCAGAAACAAGCCTCTCTAGAATGTCTCTTAATTTTTAATGAGAAAAATGTTTTGGATAGTTTCATGAGCCCCAAAGTTAGTTCTCTGTTTGAAGGCCAATATGTGTGAGTCAAAATAATAACATTGTTGCTTGGTGACTGTGAATGCAGATCAAAGGGAAATCTCTATGTTTTAAATGTACAAAAACTAAAGACTTTGGACAATTTCAACATTATATTATGCAAAGAAAGGGAAATAGGAAACAAAGGAGGAAAAATATGACACTTAACTTGTGTATATAATTAGGGGAAACATCTGATTAATAGTCCCAACTAAAGAATTTGGAAGTGATTTCTTTTTCACAATACATAGGTACACTATCAGGATAAGGGACAAGGGACACATACAACATTGTACATATATTTGTATGATAAAATTCCATAAAATAGTGAAAATGAATGAAGCATATGTAGACATATAAATATGGATGATCGATATTTTCAGAAATAAGTCTTTGAGTAGACAAAATACACAAGGCAGAATCAACAAGACCTAGAAATAGTGCAATGGTATAAAACATTTATTGCAATGAGGAGAGTGACATTTCACAGATCAAAATTTCTGACATAGTAGACAAATAAGAGATGGGTTATGCCTGTGGATCCTGAATTTGCCATAACTAATGATGGAACTAGAACGAAAGATTTAGATAGTTTACCAAATAAAGACATCTTCAATAAATTGGGGGAGTTAGATGGAAGTAATGGCATTTTGAGTGACATAGGCTTATTACAGATGCTTCAGAGATCTATACGTTTTTTGAAAGAAAAAGGTAGACTATGTTGTAAAAGCTATAAGTAGAGGGATGAGGATGAAGGTTTGGTGGGTGACATAGGTAGGACTCAGGGGACCTGAGAGCACCAGAGGGAAATGAAATAGAGTCAGATTAGCAAAGAGGTAGACTAATTGAGATTACAATCCCCAACTCCATCTCCAAAGCACACACCCTTATTATGCAGAACTCATCAACTCTAATCAGCAGATTTCAGCAGAGGATAACAGCACAAATTCTCAACAATAAGCAGGATCAGTGGTATTTTAGCAGGTGCCAGCATCTGTACTCAGGGACTGAATCAAATACCAAAACTCTAGAAACCACAGAAGGACCAGAAGTCATATCAGAAAATATCTTTAATATTTTCTATGAGGGAGGATGCACCTGATAGGTATCTTCCAGAGAAAAATATCAAAGATAGGTGTATTAGGCCATTCTTGCATTGCTATAAAGAAATACCTGATACTGGGTAATTCATAAAGAAAAGAGTTTTAATTGACTCATAGTTCTGCAGGCTGTACAAGCATAGTGCTGGCATTTGCTTGGCTTCTGGGGAAAGCCTCAGGGAGATTATACTCATGTTGGAAGGTAAAGCAGGATGAAGCCATTCACACGGTGAAAGTAGAAGCAAGAGAAAGGTGGAGGGAAGTGCCACACACTTTTAAACAACCAGATTTCACAATAACTCCCTCACTATCATGAGGACAGCACGAGGCTGTGAGGGATCAGTACCCATGACCAAAATACCTCCCACTAGGCCTGCCTCCAACATTAGGGATTAGAATTCAACATGAGATTTGGTGGGGAGCATCTATTCAAACTGTATTAGTATTAAACATTTACACTATTTGACACTGAGAGACTTGGTTTCTTAATTAGAAGAAATTGTCTCAGCTTCATACTTCTCCTGTCTATACTCCCTTCCCCAAACAGTACAATAGATTTTGATGACATTCAAATTCATTTGAGAAAATTTAGAAACTATATGTAAAACATTGCAAATATATGTTAATTATTTATCCCACACAAGTTACACACACACAGATACACACACACACAGAAAAATATGGTATTTCTCTCCCTTTTTCCCCACGTTCTTTTATTCATCATTGTATTCTAGCTACTTAAACAGTTTCTGGTTCATGCAGATATATATTTGTTAATTAAATGAATATACACATGAACTTAATATATAATAAAAGAAAATCTCAAAACAAAATAAGGAGTGATGATGACAAAATAATAAGGGATTTCGCTTAATTCTATACTGATATATTTCTGTATCTGGATGATTTTCTGGGAAAATAAAATTTTCTGGGAAAATAAAAGTTTTCAAAATTTATAGCAAAAAAGACTTAAAACTCAAAAAGGGAAATTATATAAGATTGGAGACAACACTTTCAAAGAGCTACTCCCACCCCAAAAGCATCACACCAAGATATTCCTACAGATTTATTCTACCAAAACTTAAAGTAACATATATTTTCTTCACTATTTAAAATCTTCCAGAATTTTTATAGTTCCAGGTTTTAGATTTAAGTCCTTGATCCATCTTGAGTTGATTTTTGTATAAGGTGAGAGATGAGGATCCAGTTTCATTCTTCTATATGTAGCTTGCCAGTTATCCCAGCACCATTTGTTGAATAGGGTGTCCATCTCCACTTTATGTTTTTGTTTGCTTTGCCAAAGATCAGTTGGCTGTTAAGTATTTGGGTTTATTTCTGGGTTCTCTATTCTGTTCCATTGGTCTATGTGCCTATTTTTATACCAGTAGCATGCTGTTTTGGTGATTACGGCCTTATAGTATAGTTTGAAATCAGGGAATGTTATGCCACCAGATTTGTTCTTTTTGCTTAGTCTTGCATTGGCATTAGGGCTCTTTTTGGGGTCCACATGAATTTCGGAACAGTTTTTTCTAGTTCTATGAAGAATGATCATGGTATTTTGATGGGAATTGCATTGAATTTGTAGATTTATTTTGGCAGTATGGTCATTTTCACAATATTGATTCTACCCACCCATGAGCATGGGGTGTGTTTCCATTTGTTTGTGTCATCTGTGGTTTCTTTCAGCAGTGTTTTGTAGTTTTCCTTGTAGAGGTTTTCTACCTCCTTGGCTAGGTATATTCCTAAGTATTTTATTTTATTTTTTTGCAGCTATTGTAAAGGTGTTGAGTTCTTGATGTGATTCTCAGCTTGGTCACTGTTGTTGTATAGCAGAACTACTGATTCGTGTACATTAGTTTTGTATCCGGAAACTTTGCTGAATTATTTTATAGTTCTAGGAGCTTTTGGAGGATTTTTTAGGGTTTTGTAGATATCATATCATCAGCAAACAGTGACAGTTTGACTTCCTCTTTACCGATTTGGATGCCCTTTATTTCTTTCTCTTGTCTGATTGCTCTGGCTAGGACTTCCAGTATGTTGAAGAGAAGTGGTGAAAGTGGACATCCTTCTCTTGTTCCAGTTATCAGAGAGAATGCTTTCAACTTTTCCCCACTCAGTATTATGTTGGCTGTGGGGTTGTCATAGATGGCTTTTATTATATTGAGGTATGTCCCTTGTATGCCAATTTTGCTGAGAGTTTTAACCACAAAAGAATACTGGATTTTGTTGAATGCTTTTACTGTATCTATTGACATGATAAAGTGATTTTTGTTTTTAATTCTGTTTATGTGGTGTATCACATTTATTGACTTGCATATGTTAAACCATCCCTGCATCCCTGGTATGAAACCCCCTTGATCATGGTGGATTCTATAAGATAACATCAGAAAAACCTTTCTTTCTTTTCTTTTCTATTTTATTTTATTTTATTTTTTATTTTATTTTATTTTTTGAGACAGAGTCTCACTCTGTCGCCCAGACTGGAGCTCAGTGGTGCTATCTCTGCTCACTGCAAGCTCTGCTTCCCCGGTTCTCCTGCCTCAGCCTCCCAAGTAGCTGGGACTACAGGCACACGCCACCATACCTGGCTAATTTTTTGTATTTTTAGTAGAGATGGGGTTTCACTGTGTTAGCCAGCATGAACTCGATCTCCTGACCTCGTGATCCACCCATCTCGGCCTCCCTAAGTGCTGTGATTATAGGCGTGAGCCACTGCGCCCAGCCAAAAAACCTTTGTAGACATTGGCTTAGGCAAGGATTTGATGATCAAGAATCCAAAAGCAAATGCAATGAAAACAAAGATAAGGGGACTTAATTAAACTAAAGCGCTTTTGCACAGCAAAAGAAACAGTCAAGTAAACATACAGCCCACAGAGTGGGAGAAAATCTTCAAAACCTATACATCTCACCAAAGACTAATATCCAGAATCTACAATGAACTCAAACAAATTAGCAAGAAAAAACAAACAATCCTATTAAAAAGTGGGCTAAGGACATGAATAGACAATTCTCAAAAGAAGATATACAAATGGCCAACAAACTTATGAAAAAATGCTCAATATCACTAATGATCAGGGAAATGCAAATCAAAACCACAGTATGATATCATTCTACTCCCACAAGAATGGCCATAATAAAAAAAATAGTAGATGTTGGTGTGGATGCAGTGAACAGGGAACACTTTACACTGCTGGTGGCAATGGTATAACCACCATAGAAAACCATGTGGAGATTCCTTAAAGAACTAAAAGTAGAACTACCATTTGATCCAGTAATCCCACCACTGGATATTTACCCAGAAGAAATGAAGTTGTTATACAAAAAAGATACTTGCACACACATGTTTATAGCAGCACAATTCGCAATTACAAAAATGTGGAACCAACCCAAATGCCCATCATCAGTGAGTGGATAAAGAAGCTGCTATTCATATATGATGGACCACTACTTGGCCATAAAAAGGAATGAATTAATGGCATTTGCAGCAACCTGGATGAGATTGGAGACTATTATTCTAGGTGAAGTAACTCAGGAATGGAAAACCAAACATCTTATGTCCTCGCTCATATGTGGGAGCTGAGCTATGAGGATGTGAAGGCATAAGAATAACACAATGGACTTTGGGAACTCGGGGGAAAGGTGGGAAGGGAGTGAGGTATAAAAGACTACAAATTGAGTGTAGTGTATACTGCTCAGGTGATGGGTGCACCAAAACCTCACAAATCACCACTAAAGAACTTACTCATGTAGCCAAACACCACCTTTTTCCCAATAACCTATGGAAATTTAAAAAAATAAAAAATATATAGAATTTTTATCTCAAAAAAATAAACAAAATCTTCCAAATAGACTTAAAGTAAATAGTACTTCAAATTTCTTTGACAAAGTCTGCAAAGCCTTGATAAGAAAACCCAAAAAATAGCACAGAAAATAATATAATGGAATAATAAATGTCAATTAAAATAGCCTTAATAAAGTATTAGCAAATAGAATACAGAAGCATGTTAAAAATATACTAAAACACAGCCATCTGGGATCCACAGCAGAAATACAAAGATGGTTTAAGAGTAGAAATTCCATTAATATAATTTAACATATGAAGATGAATCATGTTATCATTTTTCATAGATGCTAAAAATTCAGCATCAATTATTAATTAAAATTATTCTTTATTTGTTCTTTACTTTTTATTTATATAAACTTAAGGGATATAAGTACAGTTTTGTTAAATGGCTATATTGTGTAGTGGTGAAGTCTGGGCTTTTTAGTGTATCTGTTCTTAAAAAAGTAATAGTAAGTTGATAGCATGTAAAACATGTACATCTCAACCCAAAACTCAGAATTATGACTGATACGGTAATACAAGAAACATTTCTATTAAGTCAAGTACAAGACATAGCTATCCAAATTACTGCTATTTAACATTTTTCTGGGAGGACTAGTCAAAGCAATTGAAAAAGAGGAAAAAATTGATGTTAAATGTTCATAGTTCATAAATGGAAAAAACAAAACTAATACACTTGGCTGGGATTTCTAGAAAAGATTATTTTTACTCTGGTTCAAATGGTTGTGTAATCTGAAGAAGTTACTTATTTGCAACTAATTTTTTTTCATATAATGAGGTGGCTGAAAGAGGAA
This sequence comes from Homo sapiens, assembly GCF_000001405.40. Taxonomy (NCBI): domain Eukaryota; kingdom Metazoa; phylum Chordata; class Mammalia; order Primates; family Hominidae; genus Homo; species Homo sapiens. Next base: position 91,718,729 of record NC_000005.10, read on the forward strand.
GTAGTGGCATACATTTCTGAAATGACAGAATTTTTTTTATAAGTAGCCAATGAATTTCTCTATCAGCCTTCCTCTTACCCTCTTACTCTATTTGAAAACCATGGCTTAAATAATACATGGTATTTCCACTGGCTTTATATTATTTTTTTCTGTTTTATATTTGTATCTTAATAAAAAATGGATCTCAAATGGTTGTTTGGTGGTGCTAGTTGGAGAATTCAGCTATTATTTGATATTAGTCTTAAGACATTTTCTTGTCGATTTGTAGAGGGAAATTTCCATTTAAGGGCACATTCTCAGAAGGGATAAAACATGGAGTAGTGGTGAAAGGAGAAAATCGCCTGACCAGCTAGACGGGCTTATTTAATCTAATGGCAATAAATAACACAATCTATTTTTAAAAAAGAAATTTTAAGGACCACTCTCCAAATTTGAAGAGACTTAGGAAAATGATATTTTTAGCAGTTTAGAAAAATGATGATTTTTTTCAATATAATCTATTTAATATCTTGCCAACTTTTCATTTGAAAAGTCATATTTTTAATTTAGTGAATTTGAGAGTTGGTTTTCTCAAAACCTATATAAATTGCTTTATGAATGTGAAAGAAAAAATAGATAAACTAAGACTTGTTGAACTTTAGGGAAGAAGATTAATTATTTTTCACTTTCAATTTAAGAGAAACAGCTCATTTGTTGCTTTGTTTTGCTTCTAGAATGTAATTTATCTTGTGCCAAAGAGAGGCAAGAATGAATCCAAATTAGACAATGAATGTAGAAAACATGTTTTTTTACTCAAATACCACTAAAATGATGGCATGAATAAAAAAATATTAAAAAACATGTAAGGCAAAAGAAAATAGTCAAGAGTGAGAGGACAGAAAATAGCGTGTAATAAAGATCAACATAATATTTTAAAGTATATGTAAAATGGACAAGTGGCAACTCACTAAGACTAGAAAAATCTGAATTTTAGTTCTGATTTCATGCTGAGGATCAATCAACAAATAATTTGATTTATTCCAAGGATTTGGGGATTGGCAGCAGCTGCATTTGGGATATGATGGTGATGGGCAAAAGCAGGAAGAATGTTGAAAGTTGGTAACACAAAGCAATTAAGCCACTTACTCTACCTGCACTCCAAACCACCAGCAGAAGACTCCCTCCTCAACTCCAGCAGATGTCTGGATGTTTATTTTTCTGGGAGGACAAACTCGAAGGACTCTGGGTTCAGGAACAATGGGCACGTTTGAACATGGTGGATCTGTACTCAACTCCTAGGTTTATATCTCCTAGAGTATAGACTGGAAGGTTCCTCAGGGGAAACTGGAAGAACCAAGAGGAGAGCTATTTAAATATTGTTCTCTCTTCAGTAATCCTACACACTGAGGCTCTTCAGCTGATAAGCCCCTTCCCACTTAGAGTCATTTCCTTGATAACTACTAGCTAGTAGGCCTATGAAAAATTGCTCAACTTCATTAGTCCTGAAGGAAATGAAATTTAAAGCCACAGTGGTATATCACTACACGCTTGCCAGAATATGAAAATGAAAGCATCAAGGAGGAGAAAGGGAGGCACAGAATTCTCACATATTGCTGGTAGGTGTACAAATTGGTACAATTGCTTTGGAAAACTGATAGTACTCCTATACCTAAATGCCCTATGATCCACCCTGGATGAAAAGGCAGTGAAAATGAGGGCATATATTCACCAAAAGACATATACGGTAAAGTTTATAGCAGTTTGATTCATAATAGCCCAAGAAATAACCTAAATGCCCAACAACAGTTCAATGGATGAAGAGGGCTGTATTCATATAATCAAATTGCTACACTATTATAAAGAAAACCATTCTGTTATTTGCAATATTAATGATGAATCTCACAGATATATGGCTGAATGAAAAAAGTCAGGCACAGAAAAGTACATAACACATGATTCTATTTGTATGTTGTTCAAAAACAGGCATAATTAATCTTTGATTATAGAGGTCAAATTATTGGTTACCTATGAAGATGTTGACTGAGAGAAGGCAGCAGGAAGTCTTTGAGGTGTTGGAAATATTTTTTATTTTGATTTGTATTATGGTACACAGTGTTTACATATGCAAACATTTATCAAGATATATAGTTAAGTTGTATGCAGTTCACTGCTTATAAACTGATTCGCCATAATAAGAAAAAGAGAGAAAATAAAAAGTAAATTAGAGTATCCTTCCAGGAAATTGTTACAGTTCTCGAGGCTGTTAACCAAGATTCTGACTGTCCCTCTTTCAGGGACCTAGTGTGACTGCACCTCCTCCCTTTTTTGCAGATCAGCATGGGCCTGTGACCTTCTGTGACTGATAAAATGTGAGTAAAAGTGATATGAGTTCTTTCTGGGTGGAAGTTTTGAATAGCCAGAGTGTGGCTTGCCATGTTGCCTTTCCCCTACTTCAGTCCTGAGATCCTTCGGAGGGTGGAGACTCAGTTCCCCTAGCCTCTGAGTAAGAATGATGTGGAGCTGAGTACTTAGCTAGTCTCTTAGACTCATAGTATCAGTGAGAAATAAACATCTGCTGTATTAAACTACTGATATTTGGGATGGTTTTCTACTGCAACACAATACAATTCATTTTGATCAATTCTAGAGTCCAGCTTCCAAAAGGAGAGAAAGAAGACAAAAAGGAGTGAGAAAAATGTCAAAGAAATAAGGTAAAAACATTTCCCAGAAAGGAGTGGGGGAGGGGGAGGACTTTAATTTCGAGATTGAAAGACCCTCCCAGTGCTGAGTATAAGGAATGAATGGAACAAAACCCACATAACACATGTTATTGTGGCACTGTAGAATACTGAAGTTAAGAGATTATACTAAAAGCCCATAGACAGGGGTACAAACGGATCACAAAGAAAGAATTAAGAATCAGAACAGACTTGGACTTCCCGCAATAAACTTTGGAAGCTAGAAGACAATGAAATACCTTTTAAAATTCTACAAAACATGTACAATCTGGTTTTAAATCCCAGCCAATCTTTCAATCAGATGTGAGTGTGAAAATAAAGACATTTTAAGAGAGGCAATGCTTCAAGAAATATATCTCTAGCTTACCTTTTCTCCCAAAGCTCTTTCAATATATGCTGCACTAAAATAATCTAGAAAGATGATATAGTATGGTGCACTATCTCACAATATTGCCCACTCTCCTTTCTTAGCAACAGAATAACTGAAATAAAGACAAATTTCCTATCACGCTCCTTGAAGGTAGGCATGGCCATTTGAATAAGTTCCACTTATGGAATTTGAGTGGAGGTAGTGAGTTTGATTTGCTTTTCTTCTTTCTTTTCTGTAGTGTACACATAATGGCTGAAGCTCCATCAGCCATCGTGTATCACAACCTAGTGTCCCAGAAAATAAAAAGCAAGCATGGCAAAGCAATGCAATCTGAGGGTCCTTATTTCCTAACAACATAGTTTCCATTCCACTTCAGGACCATTCTTTTGTCCATGATAAGTAGACTCGTATTTCATTTAATCCTTTGTGTTGTTTTTCTGTTTTTCAGAGATGAGGGAAATTCTAACTCAAAGAAAGGGATTCTGTGAAAGGTGATCAAACACGGGAGAATGGCAGAGGAAATCCCCAGGAATGATAACAAAGGGAAATCTTAAGTTTTGAAGCAACAGTGTTCCAAAAGGGCTATATCTTATTTTTCTTATTATAGAAAGTCAATATATAATATCCAAAATTTAAAAATTGAGATTTAATAATATAAACTTGTTATTTGGGAATATAAGGTAAATATCAGGGGAAACATTGAAGAGAACCAAAATGAGTTTCCTCTGGGGAATGACAAGCAAGAGTGAAAAGGGGTGAGAATGGGTGGCATAGGATAATGCTGTTTTCTATTATGAGCCTTGGTGAATTATTAGATCCATTAAACTCTGTAAATGTCTTTATTATTTGCTGTATTTGCTGTATTTATAGTGATAAATGATATAAATAACTTTTTAAAAAAAACTGAATATTTGTAACCACGATTTGCATTTTCAACTGCATGTGAACCAGAATGGTAAGGAAATTCTATTATTTGTGCTAGTTGACTTACTGGAAGGTGGTTTAAAGAAATGGCATTCTTAAATTGAGAGACAAAGGTCAAAGACAAGCAGTGCCTTCGCTGTTAAAACGTATATCATGAAGCACAAATCCTTAACGGCATACAGTGGCAGTCCATGGGGAGTGAGGAGCAGTGCCTTTGGTTTGTATCTGTGACTTATTGCTATGACATGACACTATTACATTTTGGTTTTTAGCATTTTTAAAGAGGAAGTAATAGTTATGAGAGATGAAGAACTCAGAATTAAGTACTGTAGTTATACACAGAAGGGTAATTTGGTTTTGATGTATTGGCCTGGGCCTGTTAACTAATAATACCAAATTTTAAGTAGCATCTCACCGGTATGAAAAAAAGGTTGCATCATTATTAATGTCTAAACTATAGTGTGTTTCACACAGGATTATGGTAAAGGTCAGGCCATGTTTCTCTGAATTAAAAGCTATTCTGAGCTATCGCATTCCTAATCAACTCAGACCTAAAGGTGCATAGCTCAGTTATAATGAGGCACAATAAATTTAAATAAACTGCAAGATACTGTATAGTGATTTATATGTGCACCGTGGTATCCTTTTAACTCATTAGCAATGAATGATACTATGTGTTTGCGACTGTTTTTTTGCTGTATAACTATTTTTTAATCACAATATTTCTTAGGAAAAGTGCCTTATGCTCCCATTTTCTTTCTGTATGTGTAAAGTAAAAGGCAAAGGGTGCTCCTGGCATGTACTCAAACATGAGTCACAGCAGGAAGAAACTGTCAAATATCCATCCAAATAAATTTCACAAATTAACAATTTGTAACTGGGCTCACATGTTTATGGTTTCACGGTATAGAATTGCCATGGGACTTGGGAAAAGAAATTGAAGGTTATGCGCAGGTTTCTGAATTATACTTCAGATTTATCCTTGTGGAGGAATTTTAAAAAATCTATTGAACACATTTGGGCATGTATTAAGAAACAAAAAGAAAACACTAAAATTTAGCTAGAAAATATTCTGATTAACAAAGGAAAGGAGTTTTATTTACCATCTTTCATTCTCTTATGTTCACCCAATAATTTTTGTAAACAACATATCACTATAGTTTGCTCATATGGCAAATTTACACAAAGCACGGAGATTTAATTTCATTTAGTAAAACTCTTTTAAAAAATTTCTAGATTGGGAACATCTCATGTATGCAAGATCAAACATTAATTTAGAAAGGGAGTAATGTAATAGAATTGGTCAAATTCATTTTATGGATGACTCAAATAACATTCACTTTTTGTGGTGATCAGAGGAGACTGGCTTAACATCCTGAGACCTGTGCCTCCTGATGCTTAAGAAATGTATCCAGGTGTTACATTTGTTTTAAGTCCCACTCTTCATACTTGAAATGGTCTCACTATTGCTGGAATTGAGTTTCTTTTAAGCAGGGCTTTGTATTGAAGCTGGATTTCTTTCCTGGGGCCCAGAAAGAAATTTCTTCCTCCAAAGCCCTGACCTGGGGATTTTCTCTGCCATTCTCTTTTGTTCAATCCCCTTTCATTGCTTTTGAGTTTTGTTATCAATTACATATGCTTCCCATTTTTTTTTTTTTGGTTGATGAGTTTTTACCTGATATAAACTTGGTCTTGGGCTTATTAATTCTATAGTAATGTGACTGATGCTGCTAAATATTCCCCAATATTTACTTTTCTCTTCCTCCTTTTAGCAATGGAATGGAAGTTTTATCTAGCTAAGTGACCATTCAACTACTAACTAATTTCTCAGCCTCCTTTGATGTTAGGTTTTATGGACTGAATTGTGTCCCCACAAAATTCACATGTTGAAGTCCTGATCCCCATTCCCTTAGAATGTGACTGTATTTGGAGATAGGGTCTTTAAAGAGGTAATTAAGATTAAATGCGGTCATTAGCATGGGTCCTAATCCAATATAACTGGTGTTCTTATAAGGATACTAGGACACAGACACACACAGAGGAAAGACCATGTGAAGATGAAGGAAGAAGACAGACATCTATAGGCCAAGGAGAGAGGCTTCAGAAAAAATAAACCCTGCAAATACTTTTATATCAAACGTCTAGCCTCTAGATTTGTGAGAAAATAAATTTCTATTATTGAAGTCACCCAGTCTGTGGTACTTTGCTGTGGAACTCTACAAACTGGTATACTAGGTGTGGCCATGACATTGAGTTTGCATTGACGAGGTATAAGCAGAAGTGATGTGTATAGATTCTAGGTCATTTTCTTAAAAGCTAAGTCAGAATATGCTAGGTTGTCTCTTTACTTTCTTACAGGCTGGAACACAGATGTTGTGGGGGCTCAGCTTTGAGTTTTCAAATAAGGACAACACGTGGGGCAACAGGATGGAAGAAATCTGGGTCCCTGAATGACTTCATGGAGAAGAGCCATTCAGCTAGCAGGACTACTTATATCTGGATTATTATGTAGGAGATACACAAACTTTTATCTTACTTAAGGTACTGAATTTTTTTGTGGGGGTGAAGGAGGGTCTTTGTTACTATAGCTTAACCTTTCCCCTAACAACAACAAAAAAACATTTTATAGAGTATCAGACAAAGGACTCCTACTCTATTTGCACTTTAATTTTTCATTTATATTCTACACCTAATATAATACAGTTATACATCATAAACTATAAACATTTATAATTTAAATATGTAAAAGTGATAATATCTATATAGTTTTTGATTGCATATTACATTGTGACACAACTGCCATTTTTATTACAATTCCATTTCCTTTACGGATGTAGCAGTAATATGTTTAAAGTATGCTTCTGTCTTTCCTTTTATTAGTCATTATCAACAGGTCTTTATGATCTATAAATAAACTCAATTTCATCCTTCCTGAAGATCATCTGACCAAAGGTATCACCTAATCATCCTTGTAAATAAAAAAGATGGCATCAACCCACAGTCTGGCCCCATACACCTGGTCGCCATTCAAGACCTTGTCTAAGGGCTTTGTGATTACGTTTTGTTATTATTGTTACTTGTTAACATTTTACTAAACTATGAGGCTGGAACATATGGAATTATTTTTCACAGGCTTATTTATTTTCTACCTGTTTATTTATGATCACATGAAGTGATTTTTTACATTCACTGATGATCATTGGATGTGAGTTTGGTGGACATCATACCCACCCTTCCATCTCCTACTCGTTTCTAGGCATTTCAGATGATTTCTACATTTTAGAGCATCAGTGTACAACGTTCTTTCTAAAATTGTTTTTGTAGTCAGAAAGTCCAGCTTTCTTTCTAATCTAACTTTATATAATCTTGCTGCTCTTTTTTTGGTAATCTGTTATGTGTTGAATGGGTGTGTTTTAATGCTCAAAACCTAATATTTGCAGCAAATAGAAAGATAATGCCCCCTAAGTGAAATGGTGCATCAAATGGCACTAGTAGCCATTTGGAACTTCTTTCCATTTTGACTTATATAAAATAACTTGTAAGCAGAGCAACTTCACAGACATGTTCAACTAGGGTACTGTTGGGAACTAAAAGATGGGCATTTTCTTGCTATCTCCCAAGAAAAGGATAAGTTTAGCTTGACTGAATGGTGGTAATTCCATCTACCCACTCTTGCATTAAGTGATTAACCCACTGGAAGTCTGTGATCTGCTTTGAAGTCCCTAGCTTCAAAAGACTCCCCACATGAGGCCTATTCATATAAACTTGAGTTCCTCTAAATAGTGAAAAAAAAAAATCTTCTGCGTTTTACTCTTAATTTTGTTTTTCAGTTGATGAAATGTCTTTGAGCATCAGTAGGATTTTGAGATTATCATAATTTGTTCTCAGATGCACTACTGGGAGGGTAAAGCTCAATGGTCCTGGCACGCAATGTTCTATTCCATGTAAATCAGGCAGGAAAGTGACTCTACATTACTCTTTGGGTTTTGTTGAAGCATTTACTCTGTCTTGCCATCAGGTCATTGTTTTATTCTAAAGAACAATAAATTGAGATTGTGAGAGCATTTTAACATGCCAAAATAAACATTTATTCTTTGAATTTTTGAAGAGGAAATGCAAATTATTACATTTTATTGACTTTCTGGACCCTGGAGAGTGTACTCTATTTGGTAATTTGAGATTTCATTAAGTAACCGGGCATAGTCCTCAGTGGAGAAGGGCAAATAAAATACTTAGATTGAGTGGTCACTTTAACAAAGTAAGTTTCTTCCTCTCCATTAACTTTTGTTGAAAATAATCCATTTCAAATGAGAATTGAAATTATCTTAGTCCTAAAACATCTCATAATTGGCTGCCATGCCAAAAAAAAAAAAGAAAAGAAAATTAACACAGTAAGATAAGGGAAAAAATGAGGCCTAAATACAAAAATTCAAGCCCAAAAGACAACACATATGTATTTAAGCTATTCATTACCATCTATATATATTATATGCTGAGCATTATAATAAACAGAACAAAATGGTGTGAAAGATTTAGATTTTACAGAATTCATAAGCTAAGGGCATGTTAAAATAATGACTTAGATATGTTGTGATTAGAAGTTTTCAAAGTCTGGCTAGAGTCCTAAAATATTTGGAAGGTATATTCATTCATTTATTCAGCAAATATTTATTGAGAAAGTACTACATTTTGACCGAGATGGCCTTAAGGTTCCTCTCCGTTTCACTCAACTTTAGACAGGTTTCCTCCTGACTATAGATTCCTAAACATCTTTTTCCTGGAGCATGTACTTTAGGGAATTTGCAATTGTAAATTTTTTCTCTTTGATATATAAATCTTCTCCTAACTTCTTGCCAGTTTTACAACTGAGGAATGTCTTTCTCAAGGACCTGGAAGCCATCCCTTTGAAATGTAATTATCAGGAAAGAGCACTCTGTCTCTCAGTCTCTGTGGGACTGGAGGAGCCTTACTTAAATAAATGCCAATTAGCAAATACGGATGGCTTAATCACACTGGTCAGTCTCCTCCCTAACATCTGCCAATATTTTTCCATTAGCTCACTTTGCTGCTTAAAGTCTCTCCCATCTTTGGTTTCAGGGTCTCAGCAGAGGTGAGTTCAGTCTCTCTTCCCTATTGTGATAGTCTTGATTAAATTTTTCTTTACCTATTTAACTTGTCCAGTGGACTCTTTCTTTAACAATTCCAAATGCTGTTTTATTGGGGAATATATGACATGATTGGGATGGGTATTGTCCTTGCCCTCAAAGAGGTTAAAATGTTGAGGTTATAAACATTTCTTGATTGTAAAGGCAACTTCAAATCTACATCATAGATCCATGTAATTCATGTATTAGGCCATTCTCACATTGCTATAAAAAATACTTGAGACTGGGTAATTTATAAGAAAAGAGGTTTAATTTGCTTATAGCTCTGCAGGCTGTACAGGACATCTGCTTCTGAGGAGGCCACAGGAAGCTTCCAATCATGGCGGAAGGCAAAAGCACATCACATGGCAGAAGTGGGAAGAGGGGGAGGTGCCACACACTTTTAAACCACCAGATCTTACCAGAGCTTACTATCACAAGGAAAGTACCATGAGGATGGTACTAAGCCATTCATGAGTAATCCACCCCCATCTTCCAATCACCTCCTACCAGGTTCCACCTCCAATATTGGTAATTAAAATTCATATCTAAAAACTTGGCCAATTGAGAGGTCCTCTAGACTGATGATGCTTATCTGAAAGCTTCTGGATCAGAGCTCATCTCGATCTCTACCCAAAGTCATGCTTACATGCAGGCTGAATAATGGTGTGATTTGAAGGGCAGCAGCATGATAATTTTACTTAGAAATATCTTTTCTGTCAGGGTTGCTAGATGTTTGAAATACCTTATGTAGACATACGTTACTTTGTATTGACAATTACCTTTTCTCTCACTTTCTTTTCAAATATGATAAATAAACTGCTAACATCTCAGTATGAAGTAATACATCATATAGTCCTCCTCTGTGACATGAAGGAGGCAGAGTATCATAACTTTGGGAAGCTAATCTAGAGAGAAGCAGAGGGAATGAAGGAGAATGTTGAGAGTACAGTTCTTGGATAATTTTTGCAGAGTTAGTAAGTGTTGCCAGGGTGGGTTATATTAAATAATTCACATAAAATGAATACTCATAGAAATCAAACACATAAACATTACTTGGGAAAATAGAGAATGATCATGGTTAAAAAAATGGCTGAGTGATTTGGGGTCAGAACTAAAGCTTCCAAAAGTGAATAACTAAATGTACTATTTATCTTGATTTTTTCCTTAGGTATATATAGTTCTTAATATCTATCAAGGGAAACATGTTTTGACACACCTAAAATAGCTACTAGGTATTTTCCTTTGTATTTCTCTCCTCGTTCTCACCCTCTGCCCAACTTCTTTTCCAAAGGTGAAATATTTTTAAAGTAATGTAACTGTGTGGTCTGAAAAAATTCCATCTGATGGAAAAATCAGCCTAAAAAGGGACTTTGCACGAGTTAGTATGTGGATCTGGCTTGCTCTGCTCATAGACCTACTTATGACTGCCTTCTTGTTCATGGCTTAATACACATCATCTCTTTTTGAAACCCTCTCTGACCACCAAAAATAAAGTAGGCCCCCCTCACACCCTGCCACTATCACAGATAGATTCTGTCCCATGACTCTATTTTATATTTGTCATAGTGTTTATTACTACCTAGAATTATTATTTCTTTAATTTATTTACTTATTTATTAACTGTTTTCTCCCATTAGGAAATAAGCTCCATGCAATAATGAATATTGTCTACATTGTTCAGTGTTATTTCTGCAGAGCCTAAATTATGACTGATGCATGGTGCACTCTCTAATGAAGAAAACTTCATATTACATTCATTTTTTTACCTAAATATATTAACTCCTCTCTTCCTCCTTTTGCCATGAATTAATTTTACTGTTATTTACTTTCCATATATTATATTTACAACAAAAATTACTCTTCGTCCTTTTCCAATTAAATCCTTTAAATTCTAGTTGAGGAATGAATGTTTGTTCGCAATTGCATTTATATTCTGTTTTGTATTTGTGTCCTAGATTATTGGGAAAATATATGAAAACTAGAATGTGTCTTATTATGAACAATTTATTTCAAACACATGAAGGTTATATAAGGAAGAGGGCTTTATCAAAACTTAATTTGTAGGATGAAAGGAGTTGGCAAGTTCCATCACCAGCTCATATATGCAATATACAAAGATTAGCCCCCATGAGAAGCCCTTCAAAGACATACTTTCTGGTTTTGTTTACTACAATCACAAGTATTCTCTTTGCTTTGTTCTGGAGGTTGCTTAATATATCATTTGGTTCTACATGTTTCTTTCTCCTAATTTTTTTTTTATACTGTCAGATTCTGCCATGTCCATTCAAATCTAAAATTGTCTGAAACTATCTAAGTCACAACAAATCTGCTGTGTGAATAAAATCTTTATGGAGAGCTGTGAGGTTTCCAAGGCACATGCATAATAGAAATTCAATATCACTTCATTTGAGTTCAGGCAGAACTACCAATAGCTGCATTTCACAGAGACCCACAAATTGTGCTATGAAAAGAATGATTAGGACAGAATGCCAAGCCTGTGTATGGGGGCCTGGTAAATGTATTCCACGGTCAGTGTGTGGATCACCTCAGGGTGGTGCTGATAGGAGAGAGGGGTGCTCTCAAGTTCAAAATTGTATTCGGAGCATCTAATAGTAATCAATTTTGATTTTTAATAGCCCTTTCCTTTTAGTATAAAAACTAAATTCAAGTAGGAAAAATGGCAATCTGCACAAGCTGCTTTAAAATGGAGAATTTGGCATTAGGCTATTTAACTTTAGTGCCAACAAAGCAGTTAGCCAAAAAAAAAAAAAAAAAGCTATATTATAAGTACAAAATTTAATTTTTTTATGCTTAAAGAGTTAATAAGAAGTAATTCTCTTTAGGACAAAAATTATAAAGAATTTCTATGTGTTCCTGAGTAAGAGAGGAAGAGAGAGAGGAGAATTCAAATTGAATTAGAGTAAATATTAGCAGGGAAAAAGTTAAAGATAATTAAAATTATTTTAGGGACTATTTTAGACCAGCATATGATTAACTTTACCTATGTAGATTCTAACCTCTAAGGATATGAATAATATAAAATTAAATATACTGAATTATGTTTCCATCAATATTTTTCATTTTGGGGCTAATTTTTTTCAACTAACTTTTTACCTAATACCTATATTTAAACATACTTTCACATCAAAAACTCTAAATTTAATATTTTAGTATACAACTTATTTGTGAAAAAATAATTGTCTAATAATACTCATTAGTTGGTTCATGCATTATTTTCTAAAGAGTTAACTGAACAACTAAAATATGCCCCATGCAATTTATAATTCTTAAAATAAAGGTCAAGAGTTAGGTCATTATTACAATTAATCTTAATTTAGCATGAAAATGTGTGTCTATGTAATGCTCTATTTTGATAGCTAGAGCATCTTTAGATGACTTAGGCACAATTAATATTTCTTTATAACTTCTAAAAGAAAAATAACTCAATATATGGTCATAAATTAATAATCAGAATATCTGTTGGTGAAACATCCAAAATAAATTTTATCTACTGATTATTTTGAAATAGCCACAATTTCTATGAGATTACATAAATTCAAGATGATTTTAGAAAGAAATAAATATACAATAGAGATGTTACTTTTTCATTATTAAAACATGATTGAGTCAACAGAGTGTATACAGATACCTAGAAAAAACTATTTTTATTATGTTTATCTGATCTCTCCTGATGTTCTCCCAAAATTCATATGTTGAAACCCTAACCCCCAAGGTGATAGTATTAAGAGGCCAGGCTTTTTGACAGGCTCTGACCTGATGAATAGCTTTAGTGCTCTTTTATAACAGGACCAAAGGAACTCATTTGCCCCTTCACCATGAGAGGTCGCAAGGAGAAGGCACCACCTATGGACGAGGAAATGGGCCCTCACTAGACACTGTATCTGCTGGCGCGTTGATCTTACGCTTCCCAGCCTCTAAAACTATAAGAAATAAATTTCTGTTGTGTATAAGTTACTCAGTATATGGTATTTTGTTATAGTAGCCTGAATGGACAAAGACTGACTACACATGAAAACAAATCTGATCCTGAGTAGTACTGTTGAAATTCTGTTTTGATGCATTATCAAATATTTTTAAAATGTCAACCATGAATGGAATATTTCGAGTACATATGAAATACATTGGCTTATAAAGCACAATACTTTATTCTAATTCAATACCTTTTATTTATTGACAAGTATTTCTGAACATCTGTAGAATAATCAGGATATGCTAAGACCCAAATAATAATGACAGCTGCTGTTTACTGAACACCTACAGTTTTCCAACCATTGAGAGGTAGTATTGTATGGCATTTAAGGCTGTTTACTTTTTAACCAGAAGCTCTATTCAAATCCTGCTTTAGTCCCTTACTAGTTGTGAGGCCTTGGGAAGGTGATTTGCACCTCAGTTACCTTTTCTATAAAACAGAGACAATAACAGTACCTACTTCATAATGTTCCTATGAGGAAAGATTATGTGAATTCATGAATTAAACCCCTTGGACCAATATTTGGTACACAATAAGTACTTACAAAATTTTGATTAGTATTACTTAATAGTTTTGTTATTTTATCATGGCTTTCCTTAATAATTCTGGGGGAAAAGGTGTATTATGATTATTTTATAGATAAGAAAACTGAGCTTAAAGTGTTATATGCAAGTTTTCCCAATTCACATAGACAGTAATAGAGTTGTAAACTCCCAAGTTCATGCTCCTTCCACTCTATTGCTTTGTCTTCAAAGGTACTGAAGACCCAAAATTATTTCTCAAATTACTGGAGAAATAATGTAAACAATAGCTGTAGCAATAAAAATAGATAATAGTTGTGAGTTTTTGGCAAGTATATTAAAACAATCCTCAAATCAACAACAACAATAATATTATCATTGGTTTTCTTTTTTTTTTTTTTTTTTTTTTGAGATGGAGTCTTGCTCTGTCACCCAGGATAGAGTGCACTGGCACAATCAGTGCACTGGCTGGCTCACTGCAGCCTCCACCTCCCAGGTTCAAGTGATTCTCATGCCTCAGCCTCCTGAGTAGCTGGGACTACAGGTGCATGCCACCACACCCAGCTAATTTTTGTATTTTTAGTAGAGATGGGATTTCACCATGTTGGTCAGGCTGGTCTTGAACTCCTGACCCCAAGTGACTGGCCTGCCTCAGCCTCCCAAAGTGCTGGGATTACAGCGTGAGCCACTGCGCCTGGCTGATATTATCTCTATTTTATAGATGAGGAAACTGAGACATAGAGGAGATTCCTAACTTGCTCAAAGTCATACTGCTAGTAAGTGGCAGAAGTGCAAATGCTCCTTAAATATCTCTGTATGTCCCCAAGTGAAGCTCATATTTACTCAGAAATGGATGAATTTCTCAGGTCTCCACATACTTACCCAGCTCTGATGTGCTGTATTGCTGAACCACAGCTCCATGAGGCAACAGCAGCGCCTTCCTGTTCTTTGCATCCCTTACAAACCCTGCTGCTACCCCACATTACACTGCACAGCACAAGTCTATGCTTCCTCTGCTTTACTGAGGCACTCACAGCAGTCCTTTCCACTGTTGACTGCCTTGGACCCAAACTCAGAAGTGGCCTATGGTGGAATTGGGAGGGCCTTCTTTGTATTTTTCTGATGGCACTGTTAAGGAGCCTGAGGGAGTGATCCGGTGTTCCCAAAGTGTTACAGGTTTCCAATTTTTATTTTAGTCTTCTTTTGTTGGTCATGCATCCAGGAACTCTACTGGCAATGGATCAATTATGAGTGACCATCTTGTACTGAATGCCTTCTTATCTGGCATGACTGGTGATATGATGTTGACTTAAATTTATCATGTCTGGTTCACTAAAACTTTTCTCCACCCATCCCCAGTTTGCCAGACATGTAGCAGACATATAGCAGAACATGCCAGACATATAGCAGAACCCCAGAATGGGCACACTTTAAATTATGTCCCAGGATTCTCCTGTGCATACTTGCAAATATAACTTTCCCAGTCTCTAAATATATATCTATGCATGCTTGGATCTTGGAAGTGGCCAACAGAGGGCAATGATTCAAGGTGAGGACTTCACCGCCCAAACATAAAGAAATTAATGATAATGTTATTTTAGAGATCCTCATTTCTTTTCTTTTCTTTTCTTTTTTTTTTTTTTTTTGAGATGGAGTTTCGCTCTTGTTGCCCAGGCTGGAGTGCAATGGTGTGATCTCGTCTCATTGCAACCTCCGCCTCCCAGGTTCAAGCGATTCTCCTGCCTCAGCCTCCTGAAGTAGCTGGGATTACAGGCATGCATCACCACGCCCGGATAATTTTATATTTTTGGTAGAGATGGGGTTTCTCCATGTTGGTCAGGCTGGTCTCGAACTCCTGACCTCAGGTGATCCACCCGCTTCGGCCACCCAAAGTGCTGGGATTGTAGGCGTGAGCCACTGTGACCGGCAAGATCCTCATTTCTTAACCATGTCAAATAACAGACTATACTTTTTTTGGTCAATACGCCCAAATTATATTCAGAACTTAGTAAGCTTATGATATTAATACATAGCCAAATGTAATATGGAAACAAAAATACTATTAACATGTTTAATATATTTAGGAAAGTGGGTACAGTCAGGTATTTTATGAAATGTAATGTTTATTTTTATTAAACAATTATGTATGTGCATAATCACCAAACAAATGAAATATATAAAAATCTATCTATCTGTAATATATATATTTGATAAATATATACAGTTTGGTATAATGTGTGTATATATACCGTGTGTGTGTGTGTCTGTATATATATGTATATATATATATAAAAGCATGAGTCATATTCAGATAAAAGGTGCAGATAAAACAAATAGGATATAAAACATCAAGGCTAACTTTTACATTGGGAATTCAAGCTTCCCAATTTGTATATATGTATATACATATATATCAATTTCCATGTGTTTTTAAAAATTATTTCTCTCTTATGTTCATCTTGTTGGTGTCAATGTTTCTTTTGGTGGATCAAATTGATTTCATATGGTTGAGGTGGGGCTGACCCCAGCCCCTGCCCGCAGACTGGTGAAATTCTCAGACCTGTCTAGTGGATACATTATGTTACCCTGGGCACCACTTTGATTAAGTCAGGACTGGGTATGTGACACAAACTATAACATGGGTATGTGACACAAACTATAACAGTCAGAACTCTAGAACTTTTGCCTAAGCTACTTAGAGTACTAGTAAGTTCAATAAAGCCACTGTTGCCCATATTTGCCACCACATAATAAGTGATGAATATCTTGAAGACACTGAGTTCCAGAGTTCTTATCTACCAGGGAACTTTTAATAGTAAATCAACACCTTGTCTTTTTGCCTAGTCCAATTGTGTTGCAGCTTTCTCAATCGTGTTGTTTGGTGACTGGGAGGGAGTGTTACAGCTCTTTCACTCCCACCAGTGGTAAGCTCCAGGTTCTTGTCCCACAACCAAGAAGAAAAATGTGCATGGACACCAGAGAGTAAGGCAGAGTCAGATTTATTAAGTGACAGAAAAGCTCTCAGCAAAGACAGGGGACCCTAAAGAGGTTTGCTAGCTATGAGGCTGAGTCCAAGGTTTTCATGGACTGGGAAGAGGGAGGAGTGTGCTGATTGGTCTTCAGGCTGTCATGGAGAAAGCACTACTCAGAAAGAGGTATGATAGTGCAAAGAACCAATTGGAGGCAGAGGTGAAGGCTTAACCTGGGACCTTGGCCCAGGACCAATCAGGGGCTGAAGCGATGATTGACCCTGTGTAAATGAAAACTCGGACTGTGGCCAATCACAAAAAGGTAGACATACGTAAAATACGTGAAAAGTAAAATACTAAGGCACACCAAGGAGATAGAACTGTGTCCAAAAAGGAGTGGAATTTGTTCATCTGGGTTCACAGAGTAGGTGTTTCCATTCAAGGACAAGGGCTTTTCCTTATCTGGGGCCTGCAGTTTGATTTTCAGGCTGTTTTTGGTTTGAAGGAGTTTTGCTAAGGACTCCCCTAACTGCCTGCCTGGCTGGTTTCTTCCTTCCTTCTCTCTCAATTGAATTGAATAATTTTTAAATCTCGTCTTAGTCAGAAAAGTCCTAAGAGGATGGAATAGTTTGGAAAATTAAAATAAATTTAAGTCATGCACACTTAAAGAAAAAGCTGGCATTCTCAATTTAAAAGTTAGACTTGATGTTTTATCTTAAAATATTTTTAATCTGTAGCTTTTGACTTAATGTTAATCATGCTGATAACTTTTTAATTACATTTAATAAAACTTTTTAATTACACTTAATTTAAAAGGAAACAAAAGCAAAAAATTTGATAACTTTTTAATTGTGTAATTATTTTGCCTTTCTTTTCTTTTTTAATCTGCCAAATCTTCTTCTCTTTTTTCATACAGGAAAATTAGGATAACCTTCATGAATAACAAGGGCTATTTTATCCTTTCATTTTTTAAAAAAAATATTAGATTTTTAGCAAGCTATTCAGGGAAAATAAAGGCACTCTACCAAAATTTTTTTTCGTTATTTTCTCATTACTTTTGTTGTTGTTCATGTTGGACTGCTACTTACTTTTCTAATAAAGCATTATTTGCCAAAACTCTTGACATTAAAGCAGCCAGTCTCAGGTTAGTCTTACCTCTTGAGACATACTTCATTGCTTACTACTTACACCTGGCTTTTGAAGACTCGGGAATTTAGAAATAGACTGAGCCATATTAAATAACCTACAATTATAACACGTAATGTTTGAGTACACAATTTGACACACAATTGTTTCAAAAGCTTCCTGATTGTGTTATTGTATTCTTGATTTCTATTGTGTCTTTTGAAAATGTTGTATTCAGAAATGTCTGATTTTGTCTCCTTTTCTTAAGACAGTAAACATTCATAAACATTCCAAGTCACCTGCTGAAAAAAGTCATTTTATGTTTTTCTTGTAAAATATTAATTGAAAGAGTTGAATACAAGTGTACTCCACTTTTAAAATGTTAAAATTACATAACAGTAATTACATAATAAAAGTAACTTGTAATGTAGCTGTTTGACTTCCAAATAAAATTTCTTAAAGATTTATTGAAATGGCAAGTTTTTTGAAGGACAAAACATTTTATAATAATACTTTGCTTTATTTTTCTCTCTATAATAGTTTTATCTGGTCTTGCAAAAAATAGCAGCTCAAAAGGGAAATTTTGTTTTATTTAATTTTCAAACAGAATCTCATGTATGTTGACTGTGAGCCAGAAATTATTTTAAGCATTGTATTATTCCTTAAGGAACTCATAGAGTAGATGAGGATACAGATAAATACATATCAGTTGCAATGTCCATGGTATTTCTGATATATGAAGAAAAAGAAATCTTAGTATCATCTCCCAAGAAACTCGTGATGTAGTATGGGGAAGAGCATATGCAAACAGTAAACTGTAACAAACAATGCTATAGGGTAAATTATAAACACTAATATATGGTGCTTGCAATACTATAGGAAACCAGAGAAAGAAGATATCATTTTCAATTGAGGATTTCACAATTAGTAAAACTGGATATGCAGGTAGCAAATGGCAGAGTATTCAGAACTAGAGCAAATGTATATTAAAAGCCTCAGTGATGTGGGAAACCTAGAAAAAATATTTAAGAGACAGTGTTTTTAGCTGACTGGAGAATGAAACAATTGGTAATTCACATGGAAAGTTGGGGGTGTTGGCCGGGTGCAGTGGCTCATGCCTGTAATCTCAGCACTTTGGGAGGCCGAGGTGGGCGGAGCACGAGGTCAGGAGATCTAGACTATCCTGGCTAACATGGTGAAACCCCGTCTCTACTAAAAATACAAAAAATTAGCCGGGTGTGGTGGTGGGCCCCTGTAGTCCCAGCTATTTGGGAGGCTGAGGCAGGAGAATGGCATGAACCCGGGAGGCGGAGCTTGCAGTGAGCTGAGATCGCGCCACGGCACTCTAGCCTGCGTGACAGAGTAAGAGTCCATCTAAAAAAAAAAAGAAAAAGAAAAAAAGAAAAAAAGAAAGTTGGGAGTGTTTCTGAGATGGGAAGTTGCAGGATGATCATGGTATTAAAAAAAGAAATCCAGTAGTGTGTATATATACATAGAAATATAGAGAAACTGCCTAGAGGCAGGATGTTTTCTTTGAAGGCTATTTTAGTGACATTAAGGGATAACAATATGAAATAGGACAGGAGTAAGTGAGACAAATACAGAAAATTGACAGTGGAATTATTATTATGCTACAGTTTATGTGATTCTCTGGCTAACTCAATATGAAAGAGAAATAGTAGAAATTATATTCCAAAGTCATGTTCAATATTACCAAGTTTAGTGTGTTATAGAATGGCAGTTATAAAGCTATGGCTGGGGTTAACTTCACACTCTTTAAAATTTCCACAATTACCACTTATACTTCTAGGTTTAGGTGGTCATCATCTAAACAGAAGCCATTTCTCTGAGTAGGAACCCATAGCATAGATAGGTCTAGGCAAAAGTGCTAGAATAAATGTGACATCATTTGGACAATAGAAAAAGATAGTTCACATATGAAGAATTATATAGTTTGTTTACATCACAATTTAAGGAATTATATTATCAAAAAATAAGTAAGAAGGATATTAGTGTTTCTTTGATAGTGGGAGTGTAATTATTATACCAATCTATAATTAAAAGTTAATGAACTATTAACAAATTATGAAATATTTATGTGGTTCTTAGAAGTCTGTCTCTGTAAAATATTTTTAGCCCTATTTTGCAATATTTATTTTTCTTTTATTGTATAACATGGTAATCATATACTTATTATTAAAGAGTTGTTTCATTTTAAAGCATGAAAGAGTTAAACCCTTAAAAACACTCTAGGTTGAATTTTCATAGTGATATTCTGATCGCAAAAGAGTACTTTCTAACAAAACTTGAGAAATTCCTCTTGGGGTCTTTTTACACCCAAAGCAAAATTATTTTTCTCATTTGAATTTTTTTCCAATCTTTTTTTAACTCTTGAAAAACTTAGCTAATGACTTTAATTTAAAAATGGTGATTTCCTATTGGTTTTTAATGACAATGTCAGTTTTAGAATAGTTCCTGGTTTCTTGAAAGAAGACAAAGGTTAATGAATCCTGTAAGAGCCAAGTAAATGAGTTTTGCTAATTTTTTAACGAGAGAGTCTCTGAACTGTAGAATATATGTATATATATATATATAAAACGTATGTGTGTATATATAATATGCATATATATGTGCACACCCACTGTGTTTGTGTTGCGTGTGTGTTTTGTGTGTGTGTGTGTGTGTGCACGCATGTGTTCTTGAAAGGCCACATGTATCTGGAGCTATTCCATATAGGGAAGCAAGTAAAGCTTTGTGGGATGTGTATATAAACTCACTTTATATTTATGTGACTCATGCATGCATACTTTTATTTCAATGTGTGATTATTTGAATTTCAATTCACACATTGAAGACTTTCTCTTTTAAATACATGAAATAAAATCCAGTGCCAGGAAGAATCTACTTCTACAATCTTAACATTTGCAATTTCAAATACCTTCCAAAATATTGTAATCAGATATTAATTACCCTGGGTAAATTTTTTTTTGTCTTTGGATCAGGTTATCAACTCATATTAAAACTATTGCACCGCTACATAATACAGAATGTGCTGTTTGTAAAGAATTGCAGTCTTTATTTTCTGTTTGGGTTTAACTCTGAGTTAGCTCTGATTAGATTAGGAACATAAATTAACTTCTGCCCTTAACCCAGTTTCCACTAAGCAGGTTCACAGGTGAGGGAGCATTAGAAGTACCCTGGCCCTAGACATAGAGTAAGAATGCAGTGGAGGAGAAATGGACAAGAGGAAGGTAATTTTTTTCTCAAGCCAACTAGATTCTGGGTGTATTGTGAGAACCAGGGTGAGGAAGATTATTTGATAATGACAGACGGGTTCACTTGCAGAGAATAAAACATTTACTGTGCATAGACTCAATCATGGACAATTGTGAATTTCTAGGATGTGGCCACCTTGTTCTAAGCCCTTGGGAGACCACAGTGAGCAAAACCAACAAAGTAGAGCTTAAGTTTTATTGAAGGGTCAAATTTAAACAGGTGTTTTACATCTGATAGAGAAAGGACAAATCACCTTTGTCACTTACCGACTATGATGTGACTAATACTGATGTGAAGTTGGTACTCTGTGTCCAATTTATAAATGAAAAAGAACCCAGGAAATTTAAGTAAATTGCCAAAATCATGTAATTGTAAGTGATAGATTTAACACATCAGTCAGTTTCAAAAAAGCTGGTATCCTTTTTACCATAGCACACATGCATTGAGAGGTTCATGGAAGATTGTGAACAGATGTAGTTTAGCAAAATCTGGAAACATGGACTTTAGAGAGGCAATCTTGTGACCCTGAATTTTGCCATTTAATAGACCTGTGACCTTAGACTGGTTACTTAAAGCCGGAAGCCTTAGTGGGGTAATTATATATGTCTCATCAGATTATTGGGTAATTATATATCTGTCTCATCAGATTATTGTGAGGATTAGGATAATAAATAGAAAACATTTAGCATAGTGACTGGAACATAATAAGTGTTAAAACATTATCTCTTATTATCATCATCATTATTATTTATGATATTTTATTATTCTTTCCTGATAAGGAAAGCTATTTGCCCTTTTAAAATCTGTACCTAGAATGAAGGATTATGGCTTAAAATGGTAAGAAAATATATATATGGATTTAAAGATATAAAATTTAGGAGACACAGGTATATAAAAACTATACTATTGGTTTCAATCTTATTTTAAAATTGAACTGAATTGTCTCCAGATACATGGATCATTTTGGTGTTTCCCAACATTACACATTTAAATTAGATGTATATTTTCACTACTGAATTTTTATATGAAAAAAGTACACTTAATGATGGAATTATTAGAAACACAGGACATTTAACTGAAAACACAAATGAGTTATTTATTATATTTGCATAAATATATTTGCGCCATATACATTCCTTTTATCTAAGTTCTAAATAGTGCTGCATTGCAATTGCATATTAACTTTACAGTTATACACAAACTATGCAATTAATTGCTTACTTGAAATTAGGAATTATAAACTTTCCTGCATATATAGTAGCTTCTAAAGAATGTAATGTACTTGCAGTAATATCCACTATATTGTGTGTTGCTTTTCTGCTGTTAAGCAAAGGGATAGAGTGGGGAAATAATTTCACACTGCATATAATGCATCTGATATGAAGGAAACTTGAAAATTATTTAGTTACAGATTTCTCTGACCAGGCTTGCAAAGTGGCATATATTATGTTAATGGGCAAGCATTTGAAAATGAATTTGAATATTAAATGCACTAAGTTTGGGTTCTGACACGAAGGAAGGCATAGCTGGTATACAATTTACAAACAGGTTCTTGTTAACTCTTTCATTACTGTTGCTCACAATCATGCTTTGTGCTTCAAAATTGAAGAGTCATATTTTTCACTGAAAATTTATAACAATGAAAACGATTATGGTATGCAAGTGAAGTTCTGTTATAATATTAGATTGTAAACCATATTCTCTGTTCAGTTGTGTTCTATGGAAAGTAGTTGCTTATTCATTGAAAGTTTATAAGTAGAAAAGAAATGAGCAACATCAATCACTGTATTAATGGTATACTATATTTTGCAGCTTTCATTTGTAAAGTAACACATTTGAGTTGGCATATATTGGAAGTATACTACCAAGCCACCATTATACATTCAACCCAAATATCTTGTTCTCAGGTCCAAGCAGAGACCACAAATGTACTATTAGTGGACTCATAGTGTTTAAATTTACAGAAAATGAATAGTTAATAGTAAGTCTTCCCACCAAAGCATATTTTTATTGAAAGAGCAAAGCATTATAGTATACCGGATGTTTTAGGTCATTTATTTTGTTTTTGCTCTGGGTCATTTTACAAAAGCACTTCTGCTCTCTAGCGTTAAAATGAGAGCCACTCTACTCCCCAGATATTACCCAGCAGCACTTGGGGGCTCTTAATGATTAATACCATCACCGTCCAGCCACAAACCTTTCTGCCGCAGATAATGCCAGGCAGCAAGCGCGCTTGACACTTTTAATGTATAATTAAGTAGGAAAAGTCAGCACTCAGTATGCAAATTTTTCAAAATGATAAATGATGCCATACAGCAGTAGGGATTGATTTGGTGTAAATGAAACTAATTAAGGAAATGTCAAACATAATTAATAAAACAGGTTTAAGCTGCAAAACATTGTCAATTGAATGAATGAGGAGGCATTGGCTCCCATTGTTTCTGCTTTATTTAGGGCTTGTGTTTAGCTTGTACTCTGTTCCTAAATGCACTTTCGCTACCTCACACCCTCCACTACCAATTCCCAGAGAGGGGGAAAATAAATTTGCTTGTCTCTCCACTGACTGCAGAAATTAATTGCAGAAATCTTGTCCCATCCAAGTGTTACATTCACTCACAGGACATTAACATAACTAATTTGAAAGAGCCCAAATGACTGCATAATAGAGCACTGTCAGTATGCCTGACAGTCTTTGGTCATACCAAATTAGCTTGGTTTTCTAATTGAAATTTTTTTTCCTTAGACTCTTTTTATAATTTTTTCCTCAGCTATTCATTTTTTATAAGAACAAAGGTTTTATGATTTACAAAAGAGTGCTTGACCTATAATTACTAGGAGGAAATTAGGGGAGGTAGAAAAGTCAGATTTAGTCCTGGTAATGATGCTAGAGACCTTGCTCCCTCTAGGGAGCCTGAAGAATAATGGAATCTTCTATTTTTACGGGCGACCTGTGCACTGGTGCTGACTCTAACTGTGAATCCACTTTACTTTGCAGATCACTTGCTTAACACTAAAAGTGCCAGCAGAATGGCAGGCCATTACTCCAAATGTCATTCAAATCAGTGCCATTTCCACATGCCCTTCCTTCTCAAAGAGTGAATTGAAGAGCACTGCCAGTCCTCTTATCACGCCTTTGTAAATCTTCCATGTAGAGTTCTATGCAACTTAATTGATGAACCATTTGGGTAAATAAGGGTGAGAGGAGGGTAAGGAGTTTGTTGAGAGTAAGAAATTTAAAGAATGATAAATTGATTCATTTGGAAAAGAATCCAATAGGCCCTGATTTTACAATCATGTCACCTGCATGCTATGGATGTAATCTTATCCTACTTGCTATGGTTTTCTAAGTAAGGAGTCCAGTAATATATATCCTCAGTTTAGAGATCTTTTCTCAAAAGCACTTGTTTTCTTTTGAGTGTGTCATGAAATAACACATAAGAATGGAAAAGTCAGTTTTTTATACCTTATGAGTTATATACTTAATGTGGCATTTCAGATTAACCAGGGAATTGGATGGAACTGAAAGCATAGAATCATGAGAAAGCAAGTGGGAGATATACACATGCTTCTTAATTCATGTGGTTTCTGTGGAATAGATGGATGGAGGTATAAGAGCAAGGGCATGGTTTTGTTTGCCTAAAGTCTTGCTTCTACAAATCCTCGATTTGTATGGCTTCTTTTTAATTTAGTTCAGAAATAGAAGTTTATTTATTTACTTATAACCTATGTGAGACTGTGAAGACTCCTGACTTTGAGCTAAGTCATTTGGGGCTCATTTGTAGATGCTGTCCAGCATATTCTCTCTAGTTACTGAATAATGCACATATAGTTACCTATCACTTCTACAGCATTGGTTGATTGCATTGTTCTTTATTGGTACCCTTGTTATGGGTTGTCTTGTAATATCTCATGTGTTGTGTGCAACTCAAAATAAAGATGAGGTTGTTTGAGGTTGTTATACTCCACCTTTAAATGGAATGGATATGGAATAAATCAACTATTCAAAATAAATTATTACTTCATCTTTTGTCTAAATATGGACACAACTACCTCAGGTTTATTTTACACAATATGTTAACATCGATAATTGAAAGAACATTCCCTGATGTAGATTGTATATAACCTAACTTCAGTACCCCCAAAAATTATAAAATGAGAATAAACAAATTTGTCATCTGATAAAACTGAAAAGTCTGGGGTCAGTTTTCCAGAAGGATGATGATCTTAAGACATAGCCAAATAAACTGGCTTTAAAAATCTCATCAAGGCTGGGCGAGGTGGCTCACGCCTGTTATCCCAGTGCTTTGGGAGGCCGAGGCGGGCAGACCACGAGGTCAGGAGATCGAGACCATCCTGGCTAACACGGTGAAACTCCGTCTCTACTAAAAAATACAAAAAATTAGCTGGGTGCCTGTAGTCCCAGCTACTCGGGAGGCTGAGGCAGAAAAATGGCATGAACCCAGGAGGCGGAGCTTGCAGTGAGCCGAGATCGCGCCACTGCACTCCAGCCTGGGCGACAGAGCGAGACTCCGTCTCAAAAAAAAAAATAAAAGGAAAAAAAAAATCTCATCAAGACCAGGTATTTCTTTCTTTCTCATTCATTTCATCCCTTGGCTCTGCTTTCCACTGTGTTGATTTCATTTCTAGACTCCATCCTGTGGACCCAAATAACTCCATGATTAAGATTTTATCAATCCTATAATAATAGTTCAGTGGAATGAGATGTAGTTGTTGTCAGGCCTCTGAGCCCAAGCTAAGCCATCTCATCCCCTGTGACCTGCACGTATACGCCCAGATGGCCTGAAGTAACTGAAAAATCACAAAAGAAGTGAAAATGGCCTGTTCCTTGCCTTAACTGATGACATTCCACCACAAAAGAAGTGAAAATGGCTGGTCCTTGCCTTAACTGATGACATTGTCTTGTGAAATTCCTTCTTGTGGCTCATCCTGGCTCAAAAGCTCCCCTACTGAGCACCTTGTGACCCCCACTCCTGCCCGCCAGAGAACAACCCCCCTTTGACTGTAATTTTCCTTTACCTACCCAAATCCTATAAAACGGCCCTACCCTTATCTCCCTTCGCTGACTCTCTTTTCAGACTCAGCCCGCCTGCCCCCAGGTGAAATAAACAGCCTTGTTGCTCACACAAAGCCTGTTTGGTGGTCTCTTCACATGGATGTGAGTGAAAGTTGTTTTTCAGGCCCTTAAAAAATGTCCTAGGATTGGCCTTGGTTGAACCACCAAAAGTGATATACTCATCCTAGAATCCTGTCTAGCCCTGATTGATCCTGCCCCATGCAAAATCAAATGAACTGAGCATGAGAGGAATTCTCTAAGGAAATTCACTGTGTTTTTATCGAAGTAAAGGAAAACTGGGAAAACATTGGCAAAAACAATAAATATATACTCCAAGAGTATACCCTACAATCTCTAATGCAAGAACACACAGCAGTCGCCCCTTCCCCATACTTTCGCTTTCTGCAGTTTCCGTTACCTGAGGTACTATACTACTGTTCTGTAAGGTATTTTGAAAGAGAAAGAAAAAGACCATATTCACATAACTTTTATTACAGTATATTGTTATAATGGTTCTATTTCATTATTAGTTATTGCTGTTAATGTCGTACTATGCCTAATTTACAAGCTAAACTTAATCATAGGTATGTATGTATAGAAAGAAACAGTATATATAGGTTTCAGGACTATCTGTGGTTTCATTCCACTGTGAGTTTTGGAATGCATTTCATGTGGATAAGAGGGGACTACTGTATATACAATACGAAATTCTTAGTCACTGTGGGATGCTACTAACTTAATTAAAATGGAAAAATTTTTTTTTCATCTAAGGATTGTGTTTTACTTATAATTAATTCCTTTGATGGAGAATATAAGCAAAGATAATGTTATTTTTTTGCTTGTTAATGTTTTATTATTTATAACTTAGAAAAGGAAATGTGGTTTCTTAGTCTTTTATTTTGAAATAATTTTAGATTTACACATTTACAAACATGGTATAAAGAATTGATGTATACTCTTCATAAATCTTCCCCAATTGTTAACAACATACATAACCATGGTGTATTTCTTAAAACTAAGAAATTAACATTAGTACAATAATATTAATTAAGCTAGAGATTTTATTTGGTTTCTGCCAGTTTTTCTACTGATTTTTTATTCCCTGATTTAATGCAAGATGCCACATCACATGTAGTCTTCCTATCTCTGTAGTCCCCCCCGAATCTATGACACTTCCTCAATCTTTCCTTGTCTTCAATGATCTTGACATTTTATGAGTAATGATCAGTATTTTGTAGCCATTTGGGTTTGTGTGATGATTTCCTCATGACTAGTTTGAGGTTATGCATTACTGGAAAGAATCCCACAGAGGTGGTAGGCCCTTTTCACTGCACCGTATGGGGTACCTAATATCATATGCCTTATTACTGGTGATGTTAACCATAAGCACTTGGTGAAAGTGCTGCTGGCCAGGTTTCTCTACTGTAAAATTGTTATTATTTTTTAACCTTTTCATATTCTATTTAAAAGTGAGTCATGAAATCCAGCCCACACTTGAGAGAACTGAATTTCACCTCCTTCAGAGAGGAGTATAAATATTTTTGAAAATATATATTAAGACCACTATAGTAACTTATAAATATTCTGAAAAGAATCTAGAAGTTGTGAAACAATCCTGTTTCTCCTTAAAGTTTCATCCAATACAAATTAGAGCATTCATTAGTGGACATTGCCTAAAGCAGTTATTACTGTGGTGTTCTAATGGTGATCTTAAATTTTCCTTTATTAATTCTTCTGAACCTCTATTAATTCTGAAAAATGGTTTATTTATTTATTTATTTAAACATTTATTTATACCAAAGTTGTGATGCCTCCAACTTTGTTCTTTTTGCTTAAGATCGTCTTGGCTATACCAGCTCTTTTTTGGTTCCATATGAAATTTAAAGTAGTTTTTCTTCTAATTCTCTGAAGGAAGTCTTTGGTAGCTTGATGGGAATAGTATTGAATCTATAAATTACTTTGGGCAGTATGGCCATTTTCACGATATTGATCCTTCCTATCCATGAGCATGGAATGTTTTTCCATTTGTTTGTGTCCTCTCTTATTTTGTTGAGCAGTGGTTTGTAGTTCTCCTTGAAGAGGTTCACATCCCTTGTAAGTTGTATTCCTAGGTATTTTATTCTCTCTGTAGCAATTGTGAATGGGTGTTTGCTCATGTTTTGGCTTGCTGTTTGTCTATTATTGATGTATATGAATGCTTGTAATTTTTGCACATTGATTTTGTATCCTGAGACTTTGCTGAAGTTGCTTATCAGCTTAAGGAGTTTTTGGCCTGAGACAATGGGGTTTTCTAAATATACAGTCATGTCATCTTCAAACAGAGATAATTTGACTTCCTGTCTTCCTATTTGAATACCTTTATTTCTTTCTCTAGCCTGATTGCCTTGGCCAGAACTTCCAATACTGTTTTGAATAGGAGTGGTGAGAGTGGGCATGCTTGTATTGTGCCAGTTTTCAAAGGGAATGCTTCCAGCTTTTGCCCCTTCAGTATGATATTGGCTGTAGGTTTGTCATAAACAGCTTTTATTATTTTGAAATATCTTCCATCAATACCTAGTTTATTTAGTGTTTTTAGCATAAAGTGGTGTTGAATTTTACTGTAGGCCTTTTCTGCATCTACTGAGATAATCATGTGGTTTTTGTCATTGGTTCTGTTTATGTGATGGATTATGTTTATTGATTTGTATATTTTGAAACAGCCTTGGATCCCAGGGATAAAGCTGAATTGGTCTTGGTGGATAAGCTCTTTAATGTGCTGCTGGGTTCAGTTTGCCAGTATTTTATTAAGGATTTTCGCGTTGATGTTCATCAGGGATATTGGCCTGAAATTTTCTTTTTTTGTTGTGTCTCTGCCAGGTTTTGGTATCAGGATGATGCTGACCTCATAAAATGAATTAGTGAGGAGTCTATTGTTTTAGAATAGTTTCAGAAGGAATGGTACCAGCTCCTCTTTATACTTCTGGTAGAATTTCTCTGTGAATCTGACTGGTCCTGGGCTTTTTTTCGTTGGTAGGCTATTAATTACTGCCTCAATTTCAGAAATTGTTGTTGGTCTATTCAGAGATTCAATGTCTTCCTGGTTTAGTCTTGGGAGAGTGTTATGTGTCCAGGAATTTATCCATTTCTTCTAGATTTTCTAATTTATTTGTGTAGAGGTGTTTATAGTATTCTGTGATAGTAGTTTGTATTTCTCCGGAATCAGTGGTGATCTCCTCTTTATCTTTTTTTATTGTGTCTATTTGATTCTTCTCTCTTTTCTTCTTTATTAGTCTGGCTAGCAGTCTATCTATTTTGTTAATCATTTCAAAAAAACAGTTCCTGGATTCATTGATTTTTTGAAGGGTTTTTCATGTCTCTATCTCCTTCGGTTCTGCTCTGATCTTAGTTATTTCTTATCTTCTGCTAGCTTTTGAATTTGTTTGCTGTTGCTTCTCTAGTTCTTTTAATTATGATGTTAGGGTGTCAATTTTAGATCTTTCCTGCTTTCTCCTGTTGGCATTTAGTGCTATAAATTTCTCTCTAAACACTGCTTTAGCTGTGTCCCAGAGAGTCTGGTACGTTATGTCTTTGTTGTCATTGGTTTCAAAGAATATATTTATTTCTGCCTTAATTTTGTTATTTACCCAGTAGTCATTCAGGAGCAGGTTGTTCAGTTTTCATGCGTTGTGTGGTTTTGAGTGAGTTTCTTAATCCTGAGTTCTAATTTGATTGCTCTGTGGTCTGAGAGACTGTTTGTTATGATTTCCATTCTTCTGCATTTGCTGAGAAGAGTTTTACTTCCAATTATGTGGTCGGTTTTATTATAAGTGCTATGTGGTGCTGAGAAGAATATGTATTCTACTGATTTGGGGTGAAGAGTTCTGTAGATGTCTATTAGGTGTGCTTGATCCAGAGCTGAGTTCAAGTCTTGAATATCTTTGTTAACTTTCTGTCTTGTTGATACATCCAACATTGACAGTGAGGTGTTAAAGTCTCCCACTGTTATTGTGTGGGAGTCTAAGTCTCTTTGTAAGTCTCTAAGAACTTGCTTTATGAATCTGGGTGCTCCTGTACTGGATGGATAGATGTTTAGGAGAGTTAGTTGTTCTTGTTACATTGATCCTTTTATCATTATTTAGTGCCCTTTGTCTTTTTTGATCCATGTTGGTTTAAAGTCTGTTTTATAAGAGACCAGGATTGCAACCCCTGCTTTATTTGCTTTTCATTTGCTTGGTAAATCTTCCTCCATCCCTTTATTTTAAGCCTATGTGTGTCTTTGCACGTGAGATGGGTCTCCTAATAACAGCACACTGATGGGTCTTGACTCTTTATCCAATTTGCCAGTCAGCCAGTCAGTGCCTTTTAATTGGGACATTTAGCCCCTTTACATTTAAAGTTAATATTGTTATGTGTGAATTTGATCCTGTCATTATGACACTAGCTGGTTATTTTGCCCAATAGTTGATGCAGTTTCTTCATAGTGTTGACGGTCTTTACATTTTGGTTTGTTTTTGCAGTGGCTGGTACCAGTTTTTCCTTTCCATATTTAGTGCTTCCTTCAGGAGCTCTTGTAAGGCAGACCTGGTAGTGACAGAATCTCTCAGCATTTGCTTCTCTGTAAAGGATTTTATTTCTCCTTCACTTATGAAGCTTAGTTTGCCTGGATATGAAATTCTGGGTTGAAAATTCTTTTTTTTAAGAATGTTGAATATCGGCCCCCACTCTCTTCTGGTGTGTAGGGTTTCTGCAGACAGATTCACTGTTAGTCTAATGGGCTTCCCTTTGTGGGTAACCTGACCTTTCTCTCTGGCTGCCCTTAACATTTTTTTCCTTCATTTCTACCTTGGTGAATCTGACGATTATGTGTCTTGGGATTGCTCTTCTCAACGAGTATCTTTGTGGTGTTCTTTGTATTTTCTGAATTTGAATGTTAGCCTGTCTTGCTAGGTTGGGGAAGTTCTCCTGGATAATATCCTGAAGAGTGTTTTTCAACTTGGTTCCATTCTCTCCGTCACTTTCAGGTACACCAATCAAATGTAGGTTTGTTCTTCTCACATTGTTCCATATTTCTTAGAGGCTTTGTTTCTTCCTTTTCCTTCTTCTTTCTCTAATCTTGTCTTCTCATTTTATTTTGTTAAGTTGATCTTTAATCTCTGATACCCTTTCTTCCACTTGATCGATTCAGCTATTGATATTTGTGTATGCTTCACGAAATTCTCGTGCTGTGTTTTTCAGCTCCATCAAGTCATTTATGTTCTTCTCCAAACTGGTTATGTTAGTTACAAATTCCTCTAAATTTTATTAAGATTCTTAGCTTCCTTGCATTGGGTTATAACATGCTCCTTTACCTCAGAGGAGTTTGTTATTACCCATCTTCTGAAGCCTACTTCTGTCAATTCTTCAAACTCATTCTCCGTCCAGTTTTGTTCTCTTGCTGGTGAGGAGTTGTGATCCTTTAGAGGAGAAGAGGCGTTCTGGTTTTTGGAATTTTCAGCCTTTTTGGGCTGGTTTTTCCTCATCTTTGTGGATTTATCTACCTTTGGTCTTTGTTGTTGGTGACCTTCAGATGGAGTCTTTGCATGGTCGTCCTTTATCTTGATGTTGATGGTATTGCCTTCTGTTTGTTAGTTTTCCTTCTAACAGGCCCCTCATCTGCAAGTCTGTTGGAGTTTGCTGGAGGTCCACTCCAGACCCTATTTGTCTGGGTATCACCAACGGAGGCTGCAGAACAGCAAAGATTGCTGCCTGTTCCTTCCTCTGGAAGCTTTGCTCCAGAGAGGCTTGCACCAGATGCCAGCCAGAGCTCTCCTGTATGAGGTGTTTGTCGACTTCTGCTGGATGGAGTCTCCCAGTCAGGAAGCACGGGGGTCAGGGAAACACTTGAGGAGGCAGTCTGTCCCTTAGCAGAGCTTGAGCACTGTGCTGGGAGAATGGCTGCTCTCTTCAGGGCCAGCAGGCAGGAATGTTTAAGTCTGCTGAAGCTGCACCCACAGCTGCCCCTTCCTCCAAGTGCTCTGTCCCGGGGAGATGGGAGTTTTATCTATAAGACCCTGACTGGGCCTGCTGCCTTTCTTTCAGAGATGTCCTAGCTGGAGAGTGGGAATCTAAAGAAGAGTTTGGCTACAGCAGCTTTGCAGTGCTGTGGTGGGCTCCACCCAGTTTGAACTTCCCAGAGGCTTTGTTTACATCGTGAGGGGAACACTGCCTACTCAAGCCTCAGTAATGGCAGAAGCCCCTCCCCCCACCAAGCTTGAGTGTCCCAGGTTGACTTCAGACTGCTCTGCTGGCAGCAAGAATTTCAAGCCAGTGGATCTTAGCTTGCTGGGCTCTATGGGGGTGCGATCCACTGAGCAAGACCACGTGGCTCCCTGGCTTCAGCCCCCTTTCCAGGGGAGTTGATGGTTCTGTCTCACTGGCATTCCAGGCGCCACTGGGGTACAAAAAAACCACTTGCTGCTAGCTCCAAACGGCCTCTCAGTTTTGTGTTTAAAACCCAGGGCCCTGGTGGTATAGGCACTGGAGGGAATCTCCTGGTCTGCGGGTTGCAAAGACCATGGGAAAAGCATAGTATCTGGGCTACAATCCACCATCCCTTGTGGCACAGTCCCTCACAGCTTCCCTTGGCTAGGGGAGGGAGTTTCCCGACCCCTTGCACTTCCTGGGTGAGGTGATGCCCCACCCTGCTTCGGCTCATCCTCTGTGGGCTGCACCCACTGTCTAACCAGTCCCAACAAGATGAACTGGGTACCTCAGTTGGAAATGCAGAAATCACCCGTCTTCTGCATTGGTCTCACTTGGAGCTGCAGACTGGAGCTGTTCCTATTCAGCTATGTTGCCTGGGAATCATAGTAAATCTTAAAATTAAGTAATGTTATTCCTCCAAATGGATTTTCCAAATGGATAAGGAAAATCCATTTGGAGGGATAACATTACTTAAGATTTACTATAATGCTATAGTAATCACGACACTGTGACATCATCAGAGATACACACATTGACCAATGTAACAGAAAAGATAGCATTGTAATATATCTGTATAAGCATGGCCATTTGATTTTTGAAAAATATGAGAGAGGAATTAATGAAAAAATATCTTTTCAACAAAATTTTTAGAACAATTTATGATTTATATGCCACTCAAATCAGTCTCAGCCTAAGAGTTACACCATATATAAAATTCACTCAGAGTGGATCAAGTATCTAAATGTAAAATATATAGCTATAAAACTTTTGAAAGAAGATGTTAGAGAAAATCTTTGTGGCCTGGTGTTAGATAAAGAATTCCTTTTTAAAATTATTTTAATTTTTAATTTTTGTGGGTACACAGTAGGTGCATATATTTATGGAGTATATGTGAAGTTTTGATACAGGCATAAAATGTGAGATAAGCACATCATGAAGTGTGGGGTGTACATTCCCTTAAGCACTTATCCACTGAGTTGCAAACAATCCAACTACACATTTTAAGTTATTTAAAAGTGTACAGTTATTATTGACTATAGTCACCCTATTGTGCTATCAAATAGTGGGTTTTACTCATTCTTTCTAACTGTTTCTTTTATACCCATTAACCATCCCCACCTCCACCCCTCTCCCAGTGCCCCACTATGTTTCCAAGCCTCCCATAACCATCCTTCTATACTCTATGTCCATGAGTTCAATTGTTTTGATTTTTAGATCCCACAAATAAGTGAGAACATGTGATGTTTTTCTCTCCATGCCTGGCTTATTTCACTTAACATAATGATCTTTAGTTCCATCCATGTTGTTGCAAATGACTGGATCTCATTCTTTTTTAGGGCTGAATAATGTTCCATTGCATATATCTACCAACTTTTCTTTTTCCATTCATCTGGTGATGTACACTTAGGTTGCTTCCAAATTTTGCCTATTGTGAACAGTGTTGCAGCAAACATAGAAGCGCAGATATCTCTTTGATATACTGATTTTTTTTCTTTTGGTATATACCCAGCAGTGGGATCCCTGGATCATATGGTAGCTCTAGTTTTAGTTTTTTCAGCAACCTCCAAACTGTTCTCCACAGTGCTTGTAATAATTTACATTCCCACCAATAGTATACAAGGGTTCCCTTCTCTCCACATTCTTACCAGTATTTGCTATTGCCTGTCTTTTGAATACAAGGCATTTTAACTGAATTGAGGTGATATCTCATTGTAGTGTTGCTTTGCATTTCTCTGACGATCAATGATGTTGAGTACCTTTTTCATATTCTGGGTTGCCATTTGTATGTCTTCTGAGAAATGTCTATTCAAGCCTTTTGCCCATGTTTTGATGGAATTATTAGATTTTTTTCCCATAGAGTTGTTTTAGCTCCCTATGTATACTGGGTATTAATAGCTTGTCAGAGGGCTAGCTTTCAAATATTTTCTCCCATTCTTTGGGATGTCTCCTCACTTTGTTGATTGTATTATTTGCTGTGCAGAAGCTCTTTGACTTGATGTGGTCCCATTTGTCCATTTTTGCTTTGGTTGGCTGTGCTTGTGGGGTATTGCCCAATAATTTTTTTGCTTAGATCAATGTCCTGGAGATTTTCCCCAATGTTTTCTTGTAGTAGTTTCATGGTTTGAGGTATTTGATTTAAATTTTTTAATCCATTTTAATTTGATTTGCACATATGGCAAGAGATAGGTGTCTAATAGATGAAGAATTCTTAAACACAACATCGAAAGTATGATCCATAAAAGAAAAAAAAGGG
This sequence comes from Homo sapiens, assembly GCF_000001405.40. NCBI lineage: Eukaryota > Metazoa > Chordata > Mammalia > Primates > Hominidae > Homo > Homo sapiens. Next base: position 91,753,538 of record NC_000005.10, read on the forward strand.
TAAACTGGACTTTACCAAAATTTAAAGACAACTTTTGCTCTGTGAAATACACTGTTAAGTGGATAAAGACAAGCTATGTATTGAGTAAAATTACTTGTAAATTATATATCCAACAAATGATATTTATCAAGACTATATAAAGAACTCTCAAAACTCAACAATCAGAAAACAAACAATGCATATAATAATTGGTCAGATGGTTGAACTAACACTTGCAAAAAGAGATACAGTTACGGCAAAAAAGCACATGGAAATAAATTCGACCTCATCAGCTGTCAGAGAAATGCAAACTAATGTAATGATAAGATATCACTACACATCTATAAGATTGCTAAAGAAAAAATACTGACTATATTCAGGACCAGCAAGAATGCAATGTGAAGATCATTCATTGCTAGAGGGAATATAAAATGGTATTGCCAGTCGGAAAATGTTTTAGTAATTTTTTTACAAAGTTAAACATATTTTTCCACCGACACAGCCATTCAACTCCTGGGTATGTAGCCGAAAGAACTGCAAACCTATATTTACACAAGTATCTGTAAAAAAAATGTTTATAGCAACTGTGTTAATACTTGCAAAAACAAAACAATAAGACAACTGAAAAGAATCCAAATGTCCTTCAGTGGGTAAATAAACAAACTGTTTATATCCAGACAATAGGATTAATGCCAACAAAATAGAACAAACGGATGATATTTGGAACAACTTGGATGAATATCAAATGTATTGGGCTGAGGGAAAGAAACCTGTTTGAGAAGGTTACATACTGTATGGTTCTATTTGTAGGGTATTCTAGAAAAAAATTTAAAAAATTTTACTTTTAGAGAATAGATCAATGGTTACCAGAGATAAGGGTCAAGGGAGGAAGTGACTATAAAAGGATAGTAAAAAGAAGTTCTTTATTGTGAGGGATCTGCTCTGTATCATGGTTGTGGTGATGGTTATACAAATCCATAAATATGCTAAAATGTATTGAATTGTACATCAATTTAAAAAGTCAATATTATTATGTAATAATTTGAAAAATAAAAAATAAAATCAGTATGGACTTGAATATCTAATTATTTGCTAAAACTCAATACTATTATTATTTTTTTGCTCAAATTGTTTTAGCTTTAACTATTGGGATCTCTTTTAGATTGGCTTCTGTGTAAATATGGTTTTTATTGGTGGTGTTCTATAAAAATGTCATCAATAAGATTTTAACTTTAACTGAAAGGTCAAGAAAGGAGAATAAACTATATAATTATTCATTGGAAAATAATTAAATTATTTTAATCATTCAGTCCTACTGGAGATGGCATCTGGTTGGTTTCCGATTAGCTTGTAATAGGTTACTTTCTATGACATTCTTTCTTGCCAATTTGTGAGCTTCTGCTTTGTAACAATTAATTTATATTTTCCATTTCAAGCTAATATATATGTTGATTTGTACAGTTTTCTACTTTAGCCTTACAGGATTGCCCTTTAAGTGATTTTTCCCTACTTACTACTCTAGATAGTTAGATACTTGTTTGAGACCCAAAGAAATATATTACAGACAACTACTTAACATTATTTGATTAACTTAAAAAGCAGAAAATGTCTTTCTGCTAGGAATTCATACAATGTTTTAAAGCATAACTAAGGACTACACAATTTATGTGGTCAGCATTAATTTGGGTAATGAAATCACTATTTCTTTTACTTAGTAAGCAGAATACTAAATGATGTACCTACTAAACGATTATGGTACAAAGTAATATTTATAAGTAAAACAGAACATATTTGACAAAATGTTATTTGAGATAATATTTATAGAAGAATAATAAAACCTCTGTGTGCTCCTGGGATATTATCCTCTTGAAAATAATGTCAACAATTCTAGGTATGATCAAAATATATTTCAGACTTGCAAATAGATTTTCATTGCCTTTCTTTAAGAATATAAGTTAATTAGTGTTTAATACCTATTGGTTTTGTAGAAAAAAAAAGAAAAACATTCACGGGTATGTGTGAGAGAAAGTGTGTGTTTGTGTGTGTGTGTGTGTTTTGAGAACATGCAGGTCCCTTCTGTGATGAACTTGTATGGCTTAGCTGCTATATCTTTTGGACATTTAGAAACATTGTTATTTGTGAGAGAACATGGTAGGATTGCTACAGACTATGGGCAAAACAAACATAAATAGTTTAATTGATGTTAACAATGATAACAGATTGACTCTAAGACCACAGAAAAATATAGGGGCAGAGATTCAATTTTTCCATACAATTATGAACATGTTTTAAGATCTTCATGCTTTGATTATTTTTTAGAAACAATGGGAGTAACAGCCGTAACGTAAGAGCAGTAGTAATAACAACTGTAACAAATATTAACTGAGTCACTTCTTACCCTTCCTCTCCTCTCTAGCATTACCATCTTGATTCAAAGAGAGATTGTTAATTGCAGTGTAAAACTTTATTTCCCCAATGATCTGGCATGAATAAAAATCTACAATACCAAATTTTTGGTCTCTCTTCAACCCAATCTTCCCAACTCTAAAATAATGCCCAAGAAATTTTGTCTGTTACTGTCTTAGGAAAATACTATGAACGTGGCATAGCTCTTACCAGAGATTTCAAAATCCTCTTGGAGTAATTTTGTTAGAGGCTGTGATAAATGAAAGAAGACTAGAAATAGATGAGAGACCAACATATAAATGTTGTTTCCTAAGAATCTCAGGACTATCCCATAGTGAAGACCTTCCAGAGCAGCTGCAGTCTGGACTGTGCAAGGGTGAACTGTCCAACCTGGATGCCCCAGGAGTCGCTCTCGAAGTGGCCCATTTTCTTTAGAGACCATTATTCAATTTACTTTTCACCTGTGTGTTGTGGGTCTACATGGACTTGCCCATAAGGGCAGTTCCTGGTGATTTTTCAAAGGCACAAAGAGTTAAGAGACACCATCCAGACTGACACCAACACTAACGAGATGTCAGATATAAAGGAATAAAAACTTTATATAGTAAGACTGTAAAAAAGAAAAAAGCCATTATGTATTTTTCAAATTGGAGAGCGGCAACAAAATCCTTTTTTTTTTTTCAAACATCATCAACAAGCACCTCTTGAAGAATTAATGCCTACGAATCAGGGATAATGCACAGTGGGTACAAATACTCTAGCAGACACTCCAGCCACTATACAAACACTGACTTTCAGGAATTAATTGGGCAAGCAGTTTCTGGTCTTTTTGATTTCCAGAGATTGGAGCACATCAACTGATTTCCCAAACTCACTGAGTCAAATGAGATACTAGAATGAATAAAATACGCTGTCTGACCTCAAGTAAACTGACAAAATATTATAGCAGGACTAAAATTTAATGATAACTATAAATGCAAACACTAAAAATGTTACATAAGAGTAAAAATGAACTTTGTTGAGATTTAGCACATATTCTTTCATAAAAGACACATACCAACCTTGTGAGGGAAATGGCAGTATTCCATTTAGCAAATGAGAGAACGGAGGTGCAAAAATCCTCAGTTCAGACTCACACTGCAAATACGTAGCAGACTTAGGATTTCAATATGTTTTTTTGTCCCCTCAGCTCTTAAACCTATGTATTTCCATTAAACCTACTAGAAATAAATATATACATATTTGAAAGTGGAAAAGGGAACAGACACTTCCTACATGGTTGCAGGTAGAATCAAGAAAGGTTTTGCATTTTAAAATGCTTCAGGACCAGGGGTGGTGGCTCACACCTGTAATCCCAGCACTTTGGAAGCCCAAGGCGGGTGGATCACTTGAGGTCAGGAATTCGAGACCAGCCTGGCCAATATGGCGAAACCCTGTCTCTACTAAAAATTCAAAAATTAGCCAGCCGTGGTGGCATGTTCCTGTAGTCCCAGATACCCTGAAGGCTAAGACAGGAGAATCCCTTGAACCCAGGAGGCAGAAGTTGCAGTGAGCCGAGATTGCGCTACTGCACTCCAGCCTGGGTGACAGAGCAAGACTCCGTCTCTAAAATAAAATAAAAATAAAAATAAAATAAAATAAAATAAAATAAAATAAAATAAAATAAAATAAAATAAAAATGTTTCAAAGTTTGAATAAATTTAAGACAATGACAAGATGAGGAGCACTTTAGTTGCAGGGCTCAGAGGGCATGCTCACATATTTTACAGTGATCCAAAATATTTTTCTTTCTATATTATGAAACATTTAGAGAATGAATCAATAATTAAATATCTGTACAAATAAGAAACAAATAATTTACCATATAAAGAATGAGCTACTTCAAATAATTTCATAAGCAGGAAATGAATTACAATAAAATAAAATCATAAATGAAATGCCTTATTCCACGAGCATTCTTTTGTTTATTGTCAATAAGAGTGAAGAAAATAGTATTCTGCCTCCAAAGAGTTCACTGTGTGTGTTTATTACTGGCAATTGCAGAGTCAATTGAAAATATTCCTGGTGGTTATATTTATCCTCTCATAATTTTACACAAAATATGATGCAACTATTTTTCTTTTTTTTTTCTTTTTTACTGTTAAAGACACTTAACATGAGATTACCTTAGTACCAAATTTTAAAGTGCACAGTACAATATTGTTAACTAGAGGCACAGGGTTGTACAGCAGATCTCCAGAACATATTCATCTTGCATAACAAAAACTTTATACTCATTAACCAACAACTTTCCATTTTTCCTTTCCCCCAGCTCTTGGCAACTACCATTGTGCTCTTTGTTTCTATGGATTTGACTATTGTAAATACCTCAAATGAGTGGAATCTAGCAGTATTAATCTTTCTATAACAGGGATTATTTAACTTAGAATAATGTCCTTCAGGCTCATTTATATTGTCACAGATGACAGAATTTCCTTCTTTTTAAAGGCTAAATTATACTTTCTTGTACATATATACCACATTTTGTTTATCCATTCATCTGTGGATGGACATTTAGGTTGTTTCTAATCTTGGCTATTTTGAATAATGGTGCAGTGAACACAAGATCTTCAAGATCCTGATTTTAATACTTTTGGATGTATACCCAGAGGTAAGATTGCTGGATCACATGGCAATTCCATTTTTATTTTTTGAGGAGCAATCATACTGTTTTCTATAGTAGCTGCACCAGTTGCCTTTCCTACAAGAGTGCATGAAGCTTCCAATTTCTCCGCATTCTTGCCAAAACTCGTTATCTTTTTTGTTGTTGTTTTTTGATAATCTCCATTCTTACAGGTATTAGGTGCTATTATATGGTAGTTTCAATTTGCATTTCCCTGACGACTAGTGATGTTGAGCATTTTTTCACATACTTGTTGCCATTTTTATGTCTTCTTTAGAGAAATATCTATTCAAGTCCTTCGCCCAGTTTGTAATTAGATTATTTGTTTTTTGGCTGTTGAGTTGTACCTTGCATATTTTGAATATTAACCCCTCATCAGATATATGACTTTCAAATATTTTCTCTCATTCTGTATGCTGCCTTTTTACTCTGTTGATTGTTTTATTTGCTGTGCAGCAGCTTTTAGTTTGATATAGTCTCCTTTTTTTTTTTCCTTTTCTTTTAACTTTTATTTCAAGTGTAGGGGTACATGTGCAGGTTTGTTACATAGGTAAACTTGTGTCATGGTTGTTTGTTGCACAGATTATTTCATCACCACCCTCTACCCTCCAATAAGCCCCACTGTGTGTTGTTCTCCTCTATGTGTCCATGTGTTCTTATCATTTAGCTTTTCTGTTGCCTGTGCTTTTGGTGTCATACCCAAGAAATCACTGCCAGGCATGATGTCGTGAAGGTTTTCTCGTATGTTTTCTTCTGGGAGTTTTATAGTTTCACTTTTTACATTGTTGTTAAGCTGTTTTGAGACCTTTTTCCTTTTTGTATAGTATAAGGGCCATATTTCTTTCTTTTGCATATGGATATCCAGTTTCCACAACAATATATGTGAAATTTCCCCATTGTGTGTTTTCTTCCCCATTGTGTATTCTTGGCATTCTTGTCAAAGATCAGTTGACTGTATACATATAGATTTATTTCAGGGCTGTCAATTCTGTCTTATATGTCTGTTTTGTCTTTTTATATCAGAACCACACTGTTTTAATTAGCATAGCTTTGCAATATATTATTAAATCATTAACTGTTATATCTCCTGTTATGTGTTTTTTTCTCAAGATTGATTTGGTTATTTAGCCTCTCTGGTTCTATAAAAATGTTAAGATTTTTTTCTATTTCTGCAAAAAATGTCATTGGGAATTTGATAGGGATTGCATTGAATCAGTTGATTGCTTTGGGTAGTATGGACATTGAAACATTATTACGTCTTCCAACTGATGAACAAGATATCTTTCCATGTATTTGCATCAATTTAAATTTCTTGCATCATTGATTTGTAGTTTTTAATATACAAGTCTTTCACCTTCTTGGTTGAGTGTACTCCTAAGAATTTTATTTTTTTAATGCTATTATAAATATGTTATTTTTCTTAATTACTTTTTGGATAGTTCATTGTTAGTACATATAAATGCTACTGATGTTTGTGTGTTGATTTTTTGTTTTGCAACTTTCCTGTATTGGTTTATTAGTGCTAACTTTTTTTGTATGTGTGGTGTCTTTGGGATTTCCAATATTTAAGATCATGCTGTATGCAAACAAGGTAATTTTACTTCTTCCTTTCTGATTTGAAATGACTTTAATTGCCTAACTGCTCTTGCTAAAACTTCCAGTACAATGTGAATAGAAGTGGTGAGAGTGGGCATACTTGCCTTATTTTTGAGCTAGAGGAATATCTTTCAATTTTTCACTATTGAGAATGATATTAGCTATGGGCTTCTCATATGACCTTTATTGTGTTGAGGTAAATTCCTGCTATATATAGTTTGTTGAGAATTTTCATTATGAAATTGTGTTAAATTTTGTCAAATGTCCTTTCTGCATTCATCAAAATGATCACGTTATTTTCATCTTTCAGTCACATTAATTGATTAGCATATGTTTAACCATCTTTGCATCCCAGATGTAAGTCCCACTTGATCAGGCTGTATGATTTTTTTAATGTGCTATTGGATTTAGTTTTATAGTATTTTGTTGAGGATCTGTGCATCTCTATTCATCTGGGATATTGGCCCATAGTTTTCTTTTCTTACAGTGTCTTTGACTTTGGTATCAGGACAATGCTGGCTTCATAAAACAACTTTGAAAGTTTCTCTCCGATTTTTTGAAAGGGCTTAAGGATTGGTGTTTGTTTTTCTTTAAATGTTTCATAGAATTTACCAATGAAGGCATCTGGTTCTGGGATTTTCTTTGTTAGGAGGTTTATATTTACTTTTTCAGTCTTACTCATTATTGGCCTGTTCAAGTTTTCCATTTCTTCATGATGTAGTTTTGGTAGGTTGTATGTTTCCAGGAATTTATCCATTTCTTCTAGGTTAACCCATTTGTTGGTATATGATATTTTATAATAGTCCCTTATGATGTGTTTTATTTCTGTTGCATCAGTTATAATGTCTCCTCTTTAATTTCTGATTTTATTATCAATTTTGTTGATTTTTTAAAAATTCCAACTGTTAGTTTCACTGATTCTTAAATTGTTTTTGCTTTGTTTAATTTTGTTTTAATCTTTATTATTTCCTTTCTTCTGCTAACTTTGAGCTTAGTTCTCAAAATGAACTTTGTTCATTTTTTTTTAGTTCCTTGAGGTATACTTAGGTTGTTCATTTGAGATATTTCTTCTTTCTGAATGTAGATGTTTCTCACTATAAATTTCCATGTTAATGCTGGTTTTGCATATATTTCAAATTAAGAGGTAAGAGATGGAAATAACATTTTCCATAATTGTTCCAAATATACTTATGTAATAATTGTGTCTTAATGTTTTTCCTCAGAAAGTTTACATTATCATATAATAAGAGTTGGTATGTAATTATTATTTTAGTTCTTTCCCTTCTGTTCCACTCACTGTTTAAAACGTTGCACAAATTGTGTAGTGTTTTATGTTTTTATTCTAAATAATATGTTCTGCAGTCTGAGAGGAGCAGGTCTCTTTTTATTCAGTAATAGTGCATATGTTCTTCTAAATAAACATTTTTCAAGTTTATTTTAAATCAAGTATTATTAAGTTCAAGTTTGGATTTAAAGACTTAGATTAGAATGGTTTATATAAGCTTCTTAGAACTGGACATATACACCGTGATTCATGCATAGACGTTGCTATTGAATGTAATACTGGCTTTCTGTTTAGCAAGGAAAAACTATTTTATTTCATCTAATAAAATGCATTTACTAGAATTCGGTTCTAAGTTTTAGCAATGACTTTTAGACATGTAGTAAATTATTATCCATTATTTTCTTATTTAACCTGTTACCTTAATATTATGTTAAAAGAGTCTCTGATATTAATATTGATCTTTGGATTTCTAAAGGGGAGAAAAAATTAGTACTCGTTCATAATGTAATATTCTTTTAATAGAGTACTGAATTCAAATTCCTAGTACTTTATATAATTGCCAGTTATCTTTCTCAGTGAGATGAGTAAGAAGTTTGTTTTGTCAAAATAATGGACAAGAATGTGTTGATGTAAGGTGAGAAACTAGACTCAACAAGTAATGATTTTAGGGGAGAGGAGCCAAGATGGCCGAATAGGAACAGCTCCGGTCTACAGCTCCCAGCATGAGCGACACAGAAGATGGGTGATTTCTGCATTTCCATCTGAGGTACCGGGTTCATCTCACTAGGGAGTGCCAGACAGTGGGCGCAGGTCAGTGGGTGCATGCACCGTGCACAAGCCGAAGCAGGGCGAGGCATTGCCTCACTCGGGAAGCACAAGGGGTCAGGGAGTTCCCTTTTCTAGTCAAAGAAAGGGGTGACAGATGGCACCTGGAAAATTGGGTCACTCCCACCTGAACACTGCGCTTTTCCGATGGGCTTAAAAAACGGCGCACCAGGAGATTATATCTCCCACCTGGCTTGGAGGGACTTACGCCCATGGAGTCTCGCTGATTGCTAGCACAGCAGCCTGAGATCAAACTGCAAGGCGGCAGCGAGGCTGGGGGAGGGGCGCCCGCCATTGCCCAGGCTTGCTTAGGTAAACAAAGCAGCCGGAAAGCTCGAACTGGGTGGAGCCCACCACAGCTCAAGGAGGCCTGCCTGCCTCTGTAGGCTCCACCTCTGGGGGGCAGGGCACAGACAAACAAAAAGACAGCAGTAACTTCTGCAGACTTAAATGTCCCTGTCTGACAGCTTTGAAGAGAGCAGTGGTTCTCCCAGCACGCAGATGGAGATCTGAGAACGGGCAGACTGCCTCCTCAAGTGGGTCCCTGACCCCTGACCCCCGAGCAGCCTAACTGGGAGGCACCCCCCAGCAGGGGCACACTGACACCTCACATGGCCGGGTACTCCAACAGACCTGCAGCTGAGGGTCCTGTCTGTTAGAAGGAAAACTAACAAACAAAAAGGACATCCACACCAAAAACCCATCTGTACATCACCATCATCAAAGACCAAAAGTAGATAAAACCACAAAGATGGGGAAAAAACAGAGCAGAAAAACTGGAAACTCTAAAAAGCAGAGCACCTCTCCTCCTCCAAAGGAAGGCAGTTCCTCACCAGCAACGGAACAAAGCTGGATGGAGAATGACTTTGACGAGCTGAGAGAAGAAGGCTTCAGACGATCAAATTACTCCGAGCTATGGGAGGACATTCAAACCAAAGGCAAAGAAGTTGAAAACTTTGAAAAAAATTTAGAAGAATGTATAACTAGAATAACCAATACAGAGAAGTGCTTAAAGGAGCTCATGGAGCTGAAAACCAAGGCTCGAGAACTACGTGAAGAATGCAGAAGCCTCAGGAGCCGATGCGATCAACTGGAAGAAAGGGTATCAGCGATAGAAGATGAAATGAATGAAATGAAGCGAGAAGGGAAGTTTAGAGAAAAAAGAATAAAAAGAAACGAGCAAAGCTTCCAAGAAATATGGGACTATGTGAAAAGATCAAATCTACGTCTGATTGATGTGCCTGAAAGTGACGGGGAAAATGGAACCAAGTTGGAAAACACTCTGCAGGATATTATCCAGGAGAACTTCCCCAACCTAGCAAGGCAGGCCAACATTCAGATTCAGAAAATACAGAGAACGCCACAAAGATACTCCTCGAGAAGAGCAACTCCAAGACACATAATTGTCAGATTCACCAAAGTTGAAATGAAGGAAAAAATGTTAAGGGCAGCCAGAGAGAAAGGTCGGGTTACCCTCAAAGGGAAGCCCATCAGACTAACAGCAGATCTCTTGGCAGAAACTCTACAAGCCAGAAAAGAGTGGGGGCCAATATTCAACATTCTTAAAGTAAAGAATTTTCAATCCAGAATTTCATATCCAGCCAAACTAAGCCTCACAAGTGAAGGGGAAATAAAATCCTTTACAGACAAGCAAATGCTGAGAGATTTTGTCACCACCAGGCCTGCCCTAAAAGAGCTCCTGAAGGAAGCACTAAACATGGAAAAGAACAACTGGTACCAGCTGCTGTAAAATCATGCCAAAATGTAAAGACCATTGAGACTAGGAAGAAACTGCATCAACTAACGAGCAAAATCACCAGCTAACATCATAATGACAGGATCAAATTCACACATAACAATATTAACTTTGAATGTAAATGGACTAAATGCTCCAATTAAAAGACACAGACTGGCAAATTGGATAAAGAGTCAAGACCCATCAGTGTGCTGTATTCAGGAAACCCATCTCACGTGCAGAGACACACATAGGCTCAAAATAAAAGGATGGAGGAAGATCTACCAAGCTAATGGAAAACAAAAAAAGGCAGGGGTTGCAATCCTAGTCTCTGATAAAACAGACTTTAAACCAACAAAGATCAAAAGAGACAAAGAAGCCCATTACATAATGGTAAAGGGATCAATTCAACAAGAAGAGCTAACTATCCTAAATATATATGCACCCAATACAGGAGCACCCAGATTCATAAAGCAAGTCCTGAGTGACCTACAAAGAGTCTTAGACTTCCACACATTAATAATGGGAGACTTTAACACCCCACTGTCAACATTAGACAGATCAACGAGACAAAAAGTCAACAAGAATACCCAGGAATTGAACTCAACTCTGCACCAAGCAGACCTAATAGACATCTAGAGAACTCTCCACCCCAAATCAACAGAATATACATTTTTTTCAGCACCACACCACACCTATTCCAAAATTGACCACATACTTGGAAGTAAAGCTCTCCTCAGCAAATGTAAAAGAACAGAAATTATAACAAACTATCTCTCAGATCACAGTGCAATCAAACTAGAACTCAGGATTAAGAATCTCACTCAAAACCGCTCAACTACATGGAAACTGAACAACCTGCTCCTGAATGACTACTGGGTAAATAACGAAATGAAGGCAGAAATAAAGATGTTCTTTGAAATCAATGAGAACAAAGACACAACATACCAGAATCTCTGGGACGCATTCAAAGCAGTGTGTAGAGGGAAATTTATAGCACTAAATGCCCACAAGAGAAAGCAGGAAAGATCTAAAATTGACACCCTAACATCACAATGAAAGAACTAGAAAAGCAAGAGCAGACACATTCAAAAGCTAGCAGAAGGCAAGAAATAACTAAAATCAGAGCAGAACTGAAGGAAATAGAGACACAGAAAACCCTTCAAAAACTTAATGAATCCAGGAGCTGGTTTTTTGAAAGCATCAACAAAATCGATAAACCGCTAGCGAGACTAATAAAGAAAAAAAAAGAGAAGAATCAAATAGATGCAATAAAAAATGATAAAGGGGATATCACCACTGATCCCACAGAAATACAAACTACCATCAGAGAATACTACAAACACCTCTATGCAAATAAACTAGAAAATCTAGAAGAAATGGATAAATTCCTCCACACATACACTCTTCCAAGGCTAAACCAGGAAGAAGTTGAATCTCTGAATAGACCAATAACAGGATCTGAAATTGTGGCAATAATCAATAGCTTACCAACCAAAAAGAGTCCAGGACCATATGGATTCACAGCCGAATTCTACCAGAGGTACAAGGAGGAACTGGTACCATTCCTTCTGAAACTATTTCAATCAATAGAAAAAGAGGGAATCCTCCCTAACTCATTTTATGAGGCCAGCATCATCCTGATACCAAAGCCAGGCAGAGACACAACCAAAAAAGAGAATTTTAGACCAATATCCTTGATGAACATTGATGCAAAAATCCTCAATAAAATACTGGCAAACTGAATCCAGCAGCACATCAAAAAGCTTATCCACTATGATCAAGTGGGCTTCATCCCTGGGATGCAAGGCTGGTTCAATATATGCAAATCAATAAATGTAATCCAGCATATAAACAGAACCAAAGACAAAAACCACATGATTATCTCAATAGATGCAGAAGAAGCCTTTGACAAAATTCAACAACGCTTCATGCTAAAAACTCTCAATAAATTAGGTATTGATGGGATGTATATCAAAATAATAAGAGCTATCTATGACAAACCCACAGCCAATATCATACTGAATGGGCAAAAACTGGAAGCATTCCCTTTGAAAACTGGCACAAGACAGGGATGCCCTCTCTCACCACTCCTATTCAACATAGTGTTGGAAGTTCTGGCCAGGGCAATGAGGCAGGAGAAGGAAATAAAGGGTATTCAATTAGGAAAAGAGGAAGTCAAATTGTCCCTGTTTGCAGATGACATGATTGCATATATAGAAAACCCCATTGTCTCAGCCCAAAATCTCCTTAAGCTGATAAGCAACTTCAGCAAAGTCTCAGGATACAAAATCAATGTACAAAAATCACAGGCATTCATATACACCAACAAGAGACAAACAGAGAGCCAAATCATGAGTGAACTCCCATTCACAATTGCTTCAAAGAGAATAAAATACCTAGGAATCCAACTTAGAAGGGACGTGAAGGACCTCTTCAAGGAGAACTACAAACTGCTGCTCAAGGAAATAAAAGAGGATACAAACAAATGGAAGAACATTCCATGCTCATGGGTAGGAAGAATCAATATCGTGAAAATGGCCATACTGCCCAAGGTAATTTATAGATTCAATGCCATCCCCATCAAGCTACCAATGACTTTCTTCACAGAATTGAAAAAAACTACTTTAAAGTTCATATGGAACCAAAAAAGAGCCCACATTGCCAAGTCAATCCTAAGCCAAAAGAACAAAGCTGGAGGCATCACACTACCTGACTTCAAACTGTACTACAAGGCTACAGTAACCAAAACAGCATGGTACTGGTACCAAAGCAGAGATATAGATCAATGGAACAGAACAGAGCCCTCAGAAATAACGCCGCATATCTACAACTATCTGATCTTTGACAAACCTGAGAAAAACAAGCATTGGGGAAAGGATTCCCTATTTAATAAATGGTGCTGGGAAAACTGGCTAGCCATATGTAGAAAGCTGAAACTGGATCCCTTCCTTACACCTTATACAAAAATCAATTCAAGATGGATTAAAGACTTACATGTTAGACCTAAAACCATAAAAACCCTAGAAGAAAACCTAGACATTACCATTCAGGACATAGGCATGGGCAAGGACTTCATGTCTAAAACACCAAAAGCAATGGCAACAAAAGCCAAAATTGACAAATGGGTTCTAATTAAACTAAAGAGCTTCTGCACAGCAAAAGAAACCACCATCAGAGTGAACAGGCAACCTACAAAATGGGAGAAAATTTTCGCAACCTACTCATCTGACAAAGGGCTAATATCCAGAATCTACAATGAACTCAAACAAATTTACAAGAAAAAAACAAACAACCCCATCAAAAAGTGGGCAAAGGACATGAACAGACATTTCTCAAAAGAAGACATTTATGCAGCCAAAAGACACATGAAAAAATGCTCACCGTCACTGGCCATCACAGAAATGCAAATCAAAACCACAATGAGATACCATTTCACACCAGTTAGAATGGCAATCATTAAAAAGTCAGGAAACAACAGGTGCTGGAGAGGATGTGGAGAAATAGGAACACTTCTACACTGTTGGTGGGACTGTAAACTAGTTCAACCATTGTGGAAGTCAGTGTGGCGATTCCTCAGGGACCTAGAACTTGAAATACCATTTGACCCAGCCATCCCATTACTGGGTATATATCCAAAGGACTATAAATCATGCTGCTATGAAGACACATGCACACATATGTTTATTGCAGCATTATTCACAACAGCAAAGACTTGGAACCAACCCAAATGTCCAACAATGATAGACTGGATTAAGAAAATGTGGCACATATACACCATGGAATACTATGCAGCCATACAAAATGATGAGTTCATGTCCTTTGTAGGGACATGGATGAAATTGGAAATCATCATTCTCAGTAAACTATTGCAAGAACAAAAAACCAAACACCGCATATTCTCACTCATAGGTGGGAATTGAACAATGAGAACACATGGACACAGGAAGGGGAACATCACACTCTGGGGACTGTTGTGGGGTGGGGGGAGGGGGGAGGGATAGTACTGGGAGATATACCTAATGCCAGATGACGAGTTAGTGGGTGCAGCGCACCAGCATGGCACATGTATACATATGTAACTAACTTGCACATTGTGCACATGTACCCTAAAACTTAAAGTATGATAATAATAATAATAATTAAAAAAAAAAGTAATGGTTTTAAAGAAAGGCAAACAGGAAACTTGTCAAAGGAAAAAAGATAACGGTTCCAAAAGGCTAACATAATGCATAAGAATTTTGCCTAGTACAAGTCCAGTGAAAAATCGTCACAATATAATATGCAGTCAATTGATTTTCAAAAATGGTGCCAAGATGCACAATGGGGAGAAGATAGTCTCTTTAACAGATGGTATTATGAAAACATAAACAAAATAAAATAAAATAATGATAGGTGCGTTCAATAGTTAAAAATGAGCATTAAACAAGAGAAAAATTAGCAAGTAATGGGGTTCAGAAATTAAAAATAACTTGGTAGAATAATTTTTTTGTTTTGAATTAGTAGGAGAAATTATGATGAAATATATATGCACATTAAGTTTCTGGGAAATAAGAAATATATAACCTAAATATTATTTTATAATAATATTGAATAATAATATTGTTTGTTGCATGTTATAGATATTTTCCTCAATATGATTAAGATAATATGTATTCAAATTAGTAGAAAAAATTCAAGATCCCAAGTAAATTAATGGGCAAACAATATCATAGTTTATACATAGGAAATACAATGGATAAATAAATGGGACAAAAATCTAGCTTCTGTAGTTATCAAAAAAATATAAAATAAGGCAATCTTAAGATTTTTTTTTTCCACAGTAAGGGTAGTAAAGAAACAAACAAAAAACAAAACATTCAATGTTGGCAATACTTCAAAGAAATTGCCATTTTTTTATTACTGCCAACTCTGTAATTTCATACAGAGTTTCTGAAAAGTAATATGGCAGAGAAATTAAATTGCTTGAGACTTGAATATCATATTTTCATTCCTAATTTTATCCCACATAAGCAATCTAACAGAAGCTTAAATACACTTAAATATGCTCACTGTTGCTCTAGTAATGATAGTAAAACATGAATAAAAGAAAATATTTTACTAACATATAGTACAATCTATTAGAATATACATGCATACGTATATGTTCTGTTTACATGTATGTGTTGTATATCCATTACTATAAATATGAAGGACCTGTAGAAAAACCAAATTGTTTATGACATAATTCTAGGTGAAAAACAGTATATAATGCATTACATTAATATTGCAAATAAACAAGTATATGTGCCACTAATCATTAACAGTGGATAGTGAAAGGTTAATCACATAAATTAACCAATTCATTGGCTTGCTAATGTTAACATTACAAGACAATACATTTCTCTGACTTGTAGATCTCTTTGCCTTTTTGTGTACCTATTTGCTTGATAAACAGGTATCATTTATGTCCTGATTACTTACAAAAGTAATGTATTGACCTAAATACTGAGTCAACAGATTTTGAAAAATAAAGGTTAACTTGAAAATTGTAGTAACAATTCTGGATGTATATTCTAATTTGGTGAGCTTTTCTTTACACTGAAATGTTACGATGGAACTTTGGTAAATTCAACCTGCATACAGGGCCAATTCTCATTAAAATGACAGTGAATTTACAGTAGGTAAAAGCATGATTGCTAATGCCATTGATTCATTTATTTATTCATTTTATCATAAACATATCTTGCATCTCTAGTATGTGTCTGATATCATTCAGATCCTAAACAAGACTGAAACTACAGTTGTTATTACTGAGCTTATAGTTTCTAGAGGAGAAAACCAGTTGCCACAGACTCATTGGTGCCATGCTTAGATTCCCTGGGAACCCTTATTGGTTTGGTGTGTCTACTCTCAGCATCATGATGGGATTTTGCTGCAATGACACACATCTGTAACCTTTTCTGGAGTGTTGCTCTTAGGATAGTGGAGTCATCTTATTTGGAGAGCCTAGGAATTAAGCCCGACCTCCCTGCCTTGAGGAAGCCTGTATCCAATAACCGATGCTGTGTACAGAAGTCCAATAACTACTTTAAGGTAGGATATACTCTGTGGGATAACTTATGTTTTGGAGCTCCTCTGTGGGATCAGGTCGAAGCTCAACTTTATGCCAACCATTCTTTGCTGAACTTCCTCTCTTTCGCTGTCCTGTTTCCCTCACTCTCATGCAAGTTTTTTTTGAGAGTCCTCTCAATGTAAGAATCTTATAACCTAGATTAGAAAGTCAGAGGCATCTTCCTTGAGAAAAATGCATTTGTATAAGACCCTATGTCTTTTGTGTATTTTGTTTTAAAAAAACATAGCATGCATTCATGAAATGGATGCCTGTGGTCTTTGATGATGACCATCATGAAATTCATCAGCTAATATCATGACTGAATCCTTTTTCTTATATGCATCAAACTGTAAACATTGGTCACAGATGGGAGTGAATCCACCACAACGAGTAATGAGTTACTCAGGCACAATACCTATCTGGGCACATTAGAGATTGCCATAGGAAACATCCATGAAACTGTACCACTGAGCACTCCCTTCAACCTACATGTGCATGTTTGTGTGCATATATGTAAATGCAGTTCTCTATTATATATGTACATGTGTGTATTTCATAGTTGGCATAGTTATTTTGGTAATGAAAACTGGCCGGTGGAATTTGGGTGATAACCAAAATGATACTATGTTTAACACAACTCTATTATGAGCCTCTAGTTCTATGTTTCTGCTTAATGCCACAGACATAATGCTTTTCTTAAATCAAATTTTGGAGTTAAAGTTCATATTGTGAATTTTAGTAGGACATTGATTCTCCTTTATATCAGATGTATTCTGTTTAAGGCACAGACCATAAGTATAAGCTGCACTAATCGCTGAGATCTTGGTGGAGAGAAGAGGTACAACTTTTTAAAAAAATCTCCATGGTAGTTATGATGAAATCAAATAAGAAGGTAGACAGTCCTACTGCTTTTTAGTGCTTACTGTGCACCGCACACTAGAAAGCACAATTATGCTATATACAATTTTCAAATGGTTATTATCATGGCAAAACACATGAAAGTATTACTGATAAAAGGTAAGTGATAATAAAAGCCAGCAGTTCCTGTATTCAATGTTTACAAGACAAAATAAATTTAGCAAACATGTTTGTCAAGATTATGTTGAAATAATTCTACTTCACACTCTATAATATGGCTTATTAAAGGGCACATTTATTTTAAAATTCTTTTCATGTGCATAAAGAAGAAGAACTGAAAGTGTCCAACAATATGTTGAAGATACCACAGGGGCACTGTAGCCATTGCAAGGATCATAAATGGATGTAGGTTCTCATATTGGCATTATTTTTAAAAATAGAATTTTTAACTTTTGAGAAAATAAAATACTTTCATTATCCCGGGACAATAAATTAAGCACCCAAATATAATATTTGTCAAATTCTTTGGGAAAAGTTATGTTTTAACATGGATAGTTTGCCAGTGTAATGGTAATCTTGGTTGATATCTATTATATTTTAGAGATTTTTGAATTCCATAAGTGTACCAGAAGCAATAATAGTCTATTATTTGAAAAACTTTAAGAAGATATTTTATAAACATTGCCTTTTTCCATTTGGACTTAACAGTACATAAAAGTGATATCATTGTTATTGAAAGCATTTGAAACATTATAGTAGGAAGCATTTCTAAACATATACAAGAGAAAAATAAAGAAAGGAAAAGAGTTTCATTAAACAGTGGTTTAAATGCCTTTGTAAGTGGACACTATGGTAGGGGTTAAATATGCATTTATTTTAGCAAAGCTTCTTTTATTTTTTCTTTTTCTTTTTTTAGAAAAATCAGCTCAGGTAAAATCGCTGTTATAACTCAACAAATTGTAAAACTGAAGGGCTCTTGGGTCCAGGACTCTTTGGAGAGAAAATACTAGCTCAATATTGTACTTAGCCCAACAGTAAATTAATTACTTAGGGCCTATGTGGTTTTTATGCAGGACACAATCATTTTGAAGGTGGGAGTTGTTTATTAAAGGTATATTAAAATCAGACTCCAGGCAAGAAAATGGTGAATAATATGCAAAACATATGCTGAGCATAGTTAATTATCAATTAAAAAATTTAAGAATGTAAGGTTAGGTTAAATGCTGTAGAGATTTGGCTGAGACAACTGTATCCTTAATATTATTACATATCAACCTCTGATTAGTAAATCAGCTGATGCCTATTCATCGAGGACCTCCATGCCCAAGAGTTTAATAATTGAACAAGACAATATAGAGTAAAGCAGGCTTATACTCTAGTTAAGAACAAGAGGAATGATAAAATTAACAAAGTGTTAACATAGATGTATATAAGAATATCACAAATAATCATGTGTTTAGTTTTATAGCATGGATAGAGAATGAGATACCCACTAAATTTAAATTTTCATATGTGGTATTTAATATTTTCTAAATAGCATACACAAAATGCATATCTATATACCTACGAATCAGCTTAAAAATAAAATAAAATAGTACCCATACCTTTGAAGCTTAGTGTATTCTCCTTGATCACATTCCCCTCTTTTACTGAGATTACTGTTATTTTGAAGTTTGCGCTATTAATAGTTTCTCTCTTTTCTATTATAGCTTTATCATATACACCCCTAGACTTCATTATATGAATATGCTACGAATTATCTATTCTCTTTTCTATGTATATTTGATTTATAGTTTTTCACTATTTTGAATAATGCTGTGATGCACACTCAGTTCACATTTTCAAAATCTTAGAATTTTTTTTTTTTTGAGACAGGGTCTCACTCTGTCACCCAGGCTGGAGTGCAGAAGTGTGATCATGACTCACTACAGCCTCGACCTCCCATTAGTCAGATGATCCTTCCACCCCAGCCTCTCAAGCAGCTGGGATTACAGGTATGAGCCACCACATCCAGCTAATTTTTGTATTTTTTGCAGAAATGGGGTTTCATCATGTTGTCCAGGCTGGTCTTGAATTACTGGGCTCAAGCAACCCTCCTACCTCGGCCTCCCAAAGTGCTGAGATTACAGGCGTAAGCCACCTTGTCCGGCCAGGAATCAATTTTCGTTTATGAGAAAGGTCTTTAATTTTTTAGCAAGGATCTAATTTTGTGTTCAAAGTGGATCCTGCTCATAGAATTAATTGAGATTCTTTCTGTTTTTCCTATTCTATAAAATAATTTGTAGAAGATTGAAATACTTGTTCATTGCATGTTTAGTAAACTTTCCTACAAAACTATTTGTGGCTTTCTTTGCAGAAAACTATTGAATTACTTATTATTTTTCTTTTTGGTTATAGTACTCTTTAAGTTCTAGTTCATATTGAATGAGGTAATAAAAATTTGTTTGGAAATCTGTGGAGTTTTTGTGTATTTTTTAAGTATATTGGGATAAATTTTTAGTCATGTTTATTGTAGTCATGTTATATTAGTCATGTTTAGTAGAGATTATTTAACAATCTCTACTACACCTGTGTTCGTATCATTTTTTTAATTCCTAATATTGTTTGATTGTTATATTTTGTTTTATTCTCTTTAATTAGTCTTGCCAAATAATTCTCAATTCTACTACAGAGTCTTTTTACAGGCCAGACTTTTGACTTTGTTCTTTAATTTTCTCTATTGTGTTTTCCTTTTATATTTTATTAATTTGTCATATTATCTTTATTATTTCCTTATCTCTGCTTTTCTTGGGTTCATTATGTCATTTTTCTACGAATTCCTTATGTTTGATGCTTAGTTTATTAACTTCAGTCGTATACAAAGAGCTGTGTTAAAATCTATTCTGGTCACGGGCTTGTCAATTTATTTTTGTGGTTGCCAAATTTTCTTTTGCTTTACATATTTTGAAGCTATGTTTTTAGATGTACACCAATTTGGAGTTATTATATCTTATTGGTAAATTAAAGCATATCACATATGTAGTTTTTCTTTATCTCTACTAATTCTTTTGCCCCGAAGTTTATGTTGTCTAAAATTAAATGGTTATACCAGGTTTTCACAGTGAACAACTATTTTCTTCAGATATACTTCCTTCATCATTTTACTTTCTATCTTTCAGTGTCATGTTTACAAATACTTCTTAGAAGCAATATATAGTGGGATTTTGTTTATATCCAGTCTAACTCTTAAATAAGAGTGTGGAATGCTTTAAGTCCCATCATCCTTCCTCTTATGGATTGTTCTTTAGGATTTTTGCACTATCTTGATTTTTTCCCCATTTGTAACCTCCTAAACTAGACATTATTATTATTTAATGCCATCAACAGTATTTTATATTTATCTATAGAGTCACCATTTTTTCTAGGTTGATTTTCTTTCTTCCTAAAGTCCATCTTAAAATTTCCTTTAGTGAGGGTCTGGTACCATGCTTTACTACTCTCTCAATTTTTGTTTATTCCAAAATGTCCTTCTTTGTACTTGGTATTGAAAGATAATTCAAGAGTTGAGATTGTAGACTTATCTAATTAACTGGAGGATTTAGGATAAAAATATATCCCTTTTTTTTTTTTTTTTTGAAACGGAGTCTAGCTCTGTTGCCCAAGCTGGAGTGCAGTGGCGCTATCTCGGCTCACTGCAAGCTCCACCTCCCGGGTTCATGCCATTCTCCTGCCTCAACCTCCCGAGTAGCTCGGACTACAGGCGCCTGCCACCATGCCCCGCTAATTTTTTGTATTTTTAGTAGAGACGGGTTTTCACCGTGTTAGCCAGGATGGTCTCGATCTCCTGACCCCATGATCCGCCCGCCTCGGCCTCCCAAAGTGGTGGGATTACAGGCGTGAGCCACCGTGCCCGGCCAAAAATATATCCCTATTTTTTTTTAAAAGAAACTTTGGTTTAAACATATTCCTAATGTTTTTATTTGGAATGAGAGCCACAGCAGACTTCTTGGTTATAAAGGTTCACTTTTTCCAAGGCTATGCCAATCTTTTTAGTCGAAATGCCAAATGTTGGATATGAATATGCTTTGCAAACTACTGCATGGGCAAGAATGGCTGCCACGTTGTAGAAACACCTCCTAACAACAAGAGCAAGAACAATATCAAAAACCTTAGACTTTTCGTCTCCCAAACCACATCTTGCCACCTGAGGTTTCCCAGATGATCTTTTGGCAGTTCCAATTAGTCCCCTTTTCTGCTAGCAGAGTTATTTCTCTAAAACGATCATCTGATCACTTCTCCCCCTTGCTTAATATTCTTTAATGATTCCCTTTATTGATTATGATTAAATGTAAGCCTCTTTGCCTTAAACACAAGTCTCCTCCTGATAAGCTTCCTGTTGACCGTATCTTGCCATTTCCTTCCCCTTCCCCACATGCAGTACTTAGAAATTTCTTATGTGCCTCTTAGACTTTGCAAACTATTTTTTGTGTATGTGTGTGTGTAATGCTCCTCTGATCCCTGCTGCCCTTACCCTTAGCCTTACCCTCATGCTCCACTCCTTCCCCTTTGTTTTTCTCTCTGTGTCTCCATATTTTGTGACTGTCCTGTGAAAAACAGTCTGTGTATCTTCAGTCTGGGCTGGGTAGTTCTCTGAATTCTCTCAGCATAGCCAGCACTCATTGTGCCTTATTAAAATCATTCATTATTTGACTGATTCTCTTTACTATTCTCTGATTATTAGATTAGGAGCTAATTGAAAGCAGAGGCAGTACTTTGTTCATCTGTTTCTATACTGCCCAGCATAGTGACAACATGAAGCAGGTGAATTAAAAAAAATTCTGGCTTAGTTATTAGGCTTTAAGTAAATGGCTCATTAAATTGAGAAAACAACCTTTAAATGCACCTACTGCAGAACTTCTACTGTTCTGAGAACAGTATTTCATGGCTTAGCTAAATAGGAGTAACAAATTATTAGCTAATCTGAGTGTCAACAGAAGCGCAATCTTCTTAACTTCCCTTTTCTATTTATCTTCAATTAGGGAAGCTTATACAAAGTTAAATAGCTGATCTATGTCAAAACCCTTTCATAGTAACCATGGTGGAGTTTGAAATAATTTACTTATATGTAAAATTCTGGAATTTTGGTGCTTGGTAACAAATTAAGATGGGAGAGTACAGATTATTCTTTGTTCTGACTCTTCTCTTAATTATTACAATCTTTATTCTATTGCTTCCTAGTCTAGGAAAGCTGATATAAAAAAGCAAATGAAAACCAAAACCTTGTTTAATTGAACACAGTATGTACATTTTCACCTCTGGCTAACGTATTTATAGACATTTTATAAAATTTACATAACTGATGTTCATTATTGATCTTGCAGTTATTCAGTTATGTCTTATCTGGAATTTATAGAGGACAATTCTCATAAATTCAGTTTGTACAGTGCCTGGCTCAGTACCATCAGAGACGCATAATACATGTTTTTTATAATGATGTTAAAATGTTCAGTTGCAAAGGTGGGCTGTGGTCACATAATCTTTCTATTCCCTGTTCAATGAATAATTCAAGTAGTAGCCTTCACACTTCTCATGAGATTGAGAAGATATATCTATTCCCAAGTCTTGTTTTCTGTTATTGAGATGTAAGAAGCTACTGCAAATGCAAAGTCTCTGGGGCCTTGTTACAGGGGCCAGCTTCAAGTTTCCTTTGTGAACTCAAAAGGATGTGCCAGGAGAAACTTCAGAATAGAATCGCTAGTGAAAAACCAGGCACAGTTTTGGGGGCAGTGTTCATATTACGTGGAAAGTATATGTGTATTTAGCAAAACAGTGTGTGCTTGGAAGGGAGGGGGTGTTCCTTCACCTTTTTTGTGTTTTATGAACATAAACAAGTAGTAAAATCTCTTTGTGGATATTATTTGAAAATACATACTCTTGCATGTGAATGGCAGATTTTAAAATTATGTGCTTTACGTATGATTATAATGTGACACTGCACATTAATTTGATACTTGTAATTACGATATCATGTAAGAATCCCCAAAAATATCTGTGTGTTTATGCGTGGGGAGGAAACAAAGAGAAAATGTAAACTGAAATGTAAAGCTACAAATGACTATCCAAATGATCTTGTAACAAACACCCATTGGATAAAAGCAAAGTAAGGCATTCATTAGCTCTTAGACCATGATCATTAAAATGTAATGCCTTTTAGTTCAAAAGAAGATTATGGAGGAGGTAAGCTACATAAGCTACATTTAGTTTTAAAGGAAAATGTTCTGTCTTGAATGAAAACATTCTCATCTGTACAGTAGCTGAGACTTTACATTTTATTTCAAGTATGTAAAAATAAATATGGCAAAACCATTTATTCTGTTTCCCAAAGATATTAAGTGCTTCATGAAAGCAAAGAGCATTAAACTCTAACAATGAATTTCCTGTAATTATGGACACACAACTTACTAAGTTTTTTCTTTCTAGGTTCTGATTTAATGAAACCAACCATTTGCTACACTACTAACTTTCCTATTTCAAGCAGTGCCTCGAAAGAAAGTCCTAGGTGTATACTCTCAAAAATATTGCTTCATTTACAATTTTGAATAATACTTTCATAAGAATTTTGATAACAAAGACAGCCCAAACAGGAAAAACAATAGAAAAGTTTATGATGTATAAAATGAATTCTTCAAAAGAATTTTGTTTCAAAATGCCAAGGGTTATAAGTCAAATATATGCAGTGCACATTACTATTTATTACCTTGCATTGGCTGAAATTCATCTCTTCTGACAACTCTGGGTAAAGCATGTTACGTATTTCATAAAATATGAGCATTGGTCCTTTTCTGAAGATTCCACTTACTGTGTGAACTCACTGCCATTGGCTGCATCCCAGTTGCTGTAAGCTCCCTTAAGACCACTACTTCTGCAGAGTCCTATGGCAGTTGAATCAGAGGAGAAAAGGTATTTATAGAAAACATATGCAAAAGGTTGATAGCTTGTCCAGTTTTTAGTGCACAGACTGACAGCTAAATACAAATTGAGAAATGTAAGTTTCACTTCGAGCAAATTTACTGGGTGAAAACCTCATTTTTTTCATTTCATTTGAATATGTTCATTGCTTCTCAGAATATGCAACTTTATAGTGAGCATATTTTTTATTCTTGAAGGCTCATTATTTTACAGTGAGGTTACTGAACCTAGACCACATAGTACTGATTACCCAGCATAATATTAATCAAAATATACAAGGCAAATGGGATTCCAAACAGTGCCAAATAGGCATCTGCTTTTAACACAGAATAAAAAAGTACATTTAGCACCTTTATTAAAAGGTATTATGGACAATTTATTTTTAAGCCATGTCTCTAACACTATTAACTAGCATATAATTTAATGTACTCCCAAGCAACTTGACTTTTACTGTTTCCTTCAAAACATTAACTTGTAAAAGCAAGTTAATGTAAAAGACGCCTTTGACCCTGAGAAAAGATTTGAATCATTAAAAATAAATTAAGTGATCTTTTAGACACATGTAACAGTTACTTTGGGGCTTGCAAAATAGCATATTTTCTGTTGCCATGTATGACATGATATTTCATTAGGAAAAATAAAGCTAGTGCTACTTCTACTGGAACAATTTATAGCCTCTGAATGAATCAAATCCGTTTTGGAAGTTTTGCCTAAATTTGAACAGAGTTGCCCGATGCCTAAATATTCCTCAATAAACAAATTAGAGGAGTTCCGCCAAGTTTTTATAAGGGAGAAATACATTCTATGTCCATTTAGGAAGTTTTGGATTGGTTAGTGGGCACTGGGTTTCATACATCTTTATAGTGTTAACTTTATAGAGGAAAGGAAACCAATTCACTGCTATTGAAATGTAGCAGTCACTTTTATACTAAATAGGCAATGGAGATAACAATAGGAAAATAAAAATTTTTCTAGGTTAAGAAGTATAAGATAAACTGAAAATTGTGACATGTTTATGTGGGTGAAATTTTTGAGTGTTAAGTGGCAAATAAAACTTAAATTATGAAAGTAATACAAGGATGAATACTCCCTTTAAGGAAGTGAAAATATTCAAGAATAATAATATTACATGAAAAACAGCAACAAAAGCAAAAACAAAATCTCAGGGTCACCTGGATCGCCCGCAATAAAATTCCACTGCCTTACTGCAGGTAACTGCCATTAACGATTTGGATAGTATCCTTCAAGGTCTTTTCCTATATATTTACACAATGATATATTTATATCTTGGATGCATGTGTATGCATGTGTACATAAAAGAAGTACACATTGCATATGTATATATTATAAATAGTCCACAGCCAGTTTATTTTTCACTTGATAATAAAATGAACATCAATACTTTGCTGTATACACCTTTTAGTTTTCTTATTTTTTATGGTATTTTTGAGTAGGAATGTGCCTAAATAATTTAAACCATTCCCTACTGATAGATATTTGGATTATTTTTACTTTTTTTGTTTACAAAAAAATCTAAAGAAATCCTTATACTATCTGCGAGATGAATTTCTAAGTAACTGATTGGTTTTAATAAATATTGTAAAATGATCTGTGACAAATTTGTATTAGTGTCCTCTCTCAACAGTTGATAAGACTTGATAAGACTTTCTTCATATTTTTATATTTTAAATTACCGATCTTTAATTTTTATTAATCTACTAGTAAAATATATCATGATATTTACATGCATTTCCATTATTACAGGTGAGGTTGAGCAATTTTACATGTTTATTATACATATGTACACACACACAGAATCCATTCTTATTTTCTCTGTTATCTATATTCTATAAAATTGTTGCAAATTCTGAATTAGCAAATACTGAATCATTGATCCTCGGGAAAGTATATACATACTTATGTATCTATATTTATAGATACATAATCTTACATATATTATAATTTTAAATCCTAAAAAACAACTCATCCTAGTAGATTCTTCTTTTTGTTTATTTTTTATTTTGCAAGAGAGAAAATGTTCAGGAATGTTAAATGGCTTGCCTGAGGGTACCCCACTACCAGGTGCCAGAGTTTTGATTTGAGGGTTCCAAATAAATTTTAGGGAATAGGTGAATTCTCAAATATGAAATCATAAATAATAAAGATCAACTGTACACACACAATATACATATAATGTACGTACATACATATCCATTTGAATTGTCTCTTAAAATATCTTATGGACGTATTTATTTTCTTTTGTAGAATCCATTTCTAGATTATGTCCATTACCCCTTCTTTATTCCATATTTTCCAAACATTTTGTCCCAGTCTGGACCTCCTGTTTTAAGTCTGTTAATAGTATATTTAACCATTCAGGAGAATTACATTTCTATGTAGTCAAATATGCCGATTTTTTCTATGTCTTTTGGTTTTGTGTTTTATTTAGAAAGGACTTCTTCACCAACTGATAAAACATAGTTCTCTTTTCAACTTTCAGCACTTTAATCCACCTTGAATTAATTTTTGGTTTATATTATGATGTTGCCTTTTTTATTCATCTTTTTTTCCAAGATGAAACTCAACTGTCTCAAAGTTATTGCTTGAATCATCTGTCATTTCCCTGATTTCAAATGCTCCCTTTATTTCTAAATGCGCATACTTTGTTTCTGAGCTCTTTATTCTTTTTCATTGATCTATGTGTCTATACCAAATCAAGAGACATCTTGTTTTAATGGTTTAATTTTACAACACATGATTGGAAACAAACCCTCTTTTTATGGCCCTTTTTTTTCAGAATTGTCATGGTAATTCTTTAACGTTTTTCTAGATGCAATTTAATATTAGCTTTTAAAATTCCATAGAAGGTTTTCTTGTATTTGATTCTATATTACTTACCTACTGCTACGTAACAAATTACTCCAAAATTTAGTAACTTAAAACAACTACACTATTAACTTCATCAAATAGAAAAAATGTTATCTCAGAGTTTCTGTGAGTCAGGAGTCAGCCCCAAGATAGTTTTCCTGGGTGCCTCTGCCTCAAGGTCTTTCATAAGGCTGCAATCAAGGTGTCAGCTGGGACTGCAGTCATCTCAAGGTTTGAGTGGGGTAGGATTTGATTCCATGCTCACTCTTGTGGGTGTCAAGATACAGGTCCTCATGGACTATGGGACCAAGGGCCTTATTTTATCTCTGAATGTTAACCAAAGGCTGCTCTCAGTTTCTTGCTGCCTTTGCTCTTTAATAAACCAGAATATAACATGGTCACTGGACCTCCCTCAGAACCAGCCACAGAATGAAAAAGAGGGAGTGAGACAACCAGAATTTTTTTTGTAATCTAAAGTCAGAAGAAACAACACATCACTTGTGCCATATTTCATTCATTAGAAGTGAGTGACTAGGTCCAGTTCACAGTAAAAGCAGTGGGCGGGGTGGGGGGTACTACACAAGGACATAAAAACCAGGAGGTGGCTGTTGTCAGGGACTATATTAGAGGTTGCCTATACCACAAATGTACAGAATAACTGCTAAACTGGCAGCTTCACAATATTGATTCTTCTCATAGAAGAATATGGAGGATTTCCTTAATTAAGTAGTTCTTCTTATATATGTTTTATTATTTTGTTACTGTGAATAGAATTTTATGAATTTGTAATTGGAGTTGATATCACTTTTATAAAAAGTTTCTCTCTCTCTCTGTATATGTGCATATGTATTTATTTTACCTTTTGACTTTTCTCTGTTAGCATATTTTGTCTCTAAACAACAATGGCTTTAATTTATGCCTTTTGTGTATTGATACTTCTTACTTATTTTTCTTATTTTATTGAATTGGTTAATACAATCAAAATGAAGCTGTATAGCAGTAGTGGCAGCAAGCAGCTTGTGTTACCATTGTCGTTAGTGGAAATGTTTAATGTTTTTCCATTAGCATAATAATTGTTCTCTGTGTCTAGTAGATATCTTTATAGTGTTCTTCTATTCCTATATTTTAGGTATTTTTTCAAATTAGAAATTTGTTTTGAATTTCATCACTGATGTTCTTTCATTATCAAATTATAATGCTTTTCATCTTGTATTCTGATAATAAATTGCATTAGATTTTCCAATGTTGAAACTATCTTTTCATCTCTAAATTGTACAGATTATTACACTGTTGAATTCAGTGAGTTGGTATTTTATTTAGGAGTTTTGTATACACATTCAAATGCAAGACTGGTTTGTGTCTTCTGTTTTACTTTATCATAAGATTTTAATATGGCTTATGATACTCTGATACAATGCTTTAGACTACCATTTTAGCAATAATTATATAGTTTATAGAGTAGAGGAATTAGTGTGATATTGTGCAATGATTTGCCTGCAGAATCATGTGAAATTAACAAGAAGCAGCAAAGTGAAATTCTTTTTTTAAAACTTTTATTTTAGGCTCAGGGATATCTTTGCAGGTTTGCTATATAGGTAAATTGTGTGTCACTAGCATTTGGTGCAGAGATTATTTCATCACACAGATAATAAGCATGGTACCTGATAGGTAGTTTTTCTATCCTTACCCTCCACCCACCCTCCACTCTCAGGTAAGACCCAGTGTCTGTTGTTTCCTTCCTTGTGTCCGTGTGTACTCAATGTTTAGCTCCCATTTATGAGTGAGAACATGTGATATTTGACTTTCTGTTCCTGTGTTAGTTCACTTAGGATAGTAACCTCCAGCTCCACCCATGTTCCTGCAAAGGACATGTTCTTGTTCTTTTTTATGGTTGTGTAGTATTCCATGGTGTATATGTACCACATTTTATTGATGTAGTCTGCCATTGATTGGCATTTAAGTTGATTCCATGCCTTTACTATTGTGAATAGTGCTGCAATGAGCATACACGTGCATGTGTCTTTATGGTAGAATAATTTATATTCCTTTGGGTATATACCCAGTAATCGGATTGCTGGTTCCAATGGTAGCTCTGTTTCAAGTTCTTTGAGAATCACCAAACCGCTTTCCCCAATGGCTGAACTAATTTACATTCCCACCAGCAGTGTATAAGCGTTCTCTTTTCTCCACTATCTTGCCAACCTCTGTTATTTTTGACTTTTTAATAATAGCTATTTTGACTGGTGTGAGATGGTAACTCACTGTGCCTTTGATTTGCATTTCTCTAATGATTAGTGATGCTGAGCATTTTTTTATATGTTTGTGGGCCATGTGTATGTCTTCTTTTGAAAAGTGTCTGTTCATGATCTTTGTCCACTTTTTAATGGGGCTGTTTTTAACTTGTTTATTTGTCTAAATTCCTTAGATTCTGGGTATTAAAGCTTGTTGGATGCCCTGTTTACAAATATTTTCTCCTATTCTGTAGTTGTCTATTTACTCTGTTAATAGCTTCTTTTGTTGTCCAGAAGCACTTTAGTTGAATTAGATCCCATTTGTCAATTTTTGGTTTTCTTTCCATTGCCTTTTGTGTCTTCATTATTAAATATTTGCCAGGTCCTATGTCCAGAATGCTATTTCATAGGTTATCTTCCAGAGTTTTTCTACTTTAAGTTTTACATGTAAGTTTTTAATCCATCTTGAGTTGTTTTTTGTGTATGGTAAAATTAAAGGGTCCAATTTCAATCTTCTGCATATAGGTAGCCAGTTACCCCAGCACCATTTATTGAATAGGGATTCTTTTCCCCACCGCTTTTTTTTGTCAGTTTTGTCAAAGATCATATGGTTGTAGGTGTGTGGCATTATTTCTCTGCTCTCTACTCTGTTCCACTGGTCTATGTGTCTGTTTTTGTACCAGTACCATGCTGTTTTGGTCATTTAATTTTACACAAACACCCTCTTTAAGGCTGAAGCAAATCTGACTGACTTTCAATGTGAAAATAAAATATAAAAACTGTTCTTGGAGTTATTTCTAAACACAACTAACATCAGAATAATCTATTTCAGAAAAATCAGATTCATCAATTGAATCTTTGGCCAACAACTGTTTGGGAACGATGTTAACATCACATGTAAGAATGCTACGTTTTTTACATCACACACTGGAGCCTGATGTGGGGTGGGGGAAGGGGGGAGGGATAGCATTAGGAGATATACCTAATGTTAAATGACGAGTTAATGGGTGCAGCACACCAACATGGCACATGTATACATATGTAAAAAACCTGCACGTTGTGCACATGTACCCTAAAACTTAAAGTACAATAAAAAAAAGAATGCTATGTTTTTTAGAATTTGACATTTTCAGCAATCGAGAATTACTGTGTTTTTAAATGGAAATACCATTACTAAAATCAGAATGCTATAAATAGAAAATGTCTTCTGTTTCCAAGGTAGGTATACTAGGGCAATGAGAGAATAATAGTAAAAGCAAGATACTGTATGGCAAAGTTATCTCAGGGTAAGCGCTGCAACCGCAACCGTCACCAGCAAGTATTCTGGGGGTGAATGAGAAAAGGGTTAACTTTTCAAAACAATTAATTGTTATGTTTATTAGACTATTCAGCTGATAAAGGATTTATAAGTTTTTTTCTTTTAAATATTTGAAAAATATTTTATTTTGACATTTTCAGTTTTATTATTTCTTTATATTTTGAGCTATCATTGTCATGTAAAGAATACTAATTTGAGAAGGCCTATGTTATGGTTCTCCCAGGTAGCTGGAGATTTAAATTATAAAAAACCACTTAAGGGAAGGTGGAAACAGAGCTACATTGTCTGATAAGTGTGTGTGTGTGTGCATGCGTAGTGTTTTGTGTGAGAGAGATGTTGTGAAGGGAAGGCTTCCAAACTTCCCTGCACATCATATGTACCCATCCAACATTACTTCTCCTCCAGACATATTTCTTTTTGCCTGCTTCTAAAACATATTCAAAATAATAACAAGGGGGTAAATCAAAAGTAAAGGTAAAATAAATAAGAACTGATATGCTCATATTGAGATAACGTAATGCTGGAATGGTTTGATTTCAAGTAGTCAATGACTTAACTGAGCATGTTTTAGAATCCTTATGATCTTTGAATAGCCATGCTGTTAGACTTCTCAAACATTATGAGAATCACTTTTCAAATGGAGGAGGTAAGAACACCCAACAATCTGCTCCTCCGTAAAAGCAAGAAAATAAGTGACGAAAAATGTTAAAATTACCTTTTTCAGAATTCTGTAAATTAAGTAAATACTTGTTACTACATTTTGAGGAAGGATAAATTTCCTTTCTGCTAATAAAAAAAGGCGCATTATCTGAATTGCAGTAAGAACAGTGAGCTGCAAGCGTTCCCCATCCCCGTGCCCCTTACCATAGTAGCTCCACACTAAACTTGAAAATCAACGGCCTTATCTGTGAAAGGCAGTGGCCTAGCAGCTACATAAGGGGATGAGAGGTTTCAAACTCCCCCAGAATTCTATCTTCAGAGAATGTTTACTATTTGCCCTGTCTGAAAAGCTTCCTCCTTGGGGCTTGTCTTTTTTTTTTTTTTTTTTTTTTTTAAAGGAGTCTTGCTCTGTTGCCCAGGCTGGAGTGTAGTGGCGCAAACTTGGCTCACTGCAACCTCTGCCTCTCTGCCTCTCAGGTTCAAGTGATTCTCCTGCCTCAGCCTCCTGAGTAGCTGGGATTACAGGCATGTGCCACCACGCCTGGCTAGTTTTTGTATTTTTAGTAGAGAAAGGGTTTCACCATGTTGGTCAGACTGGTCTCAAACTGCTGACCTCATGATCCATCTGCCTCGGCCTGCCAAAGTGCTGGGATTACAGGCGAGGTTTGTCTTTATTTGATACTATTTAGAATTCTCTCTGTGTGTACAGCTGTATCTCCAGCACATTTGTATGAAAAATTAGTGGCAGTTGTTTCACGTCACAGCTACCTGAGGAAGCAATAACAGTTGGGGCTAGCAATCAGCTGCTAAAAAAAAAAAAAAGAAGAAGAAGAAAATGGAAGAATAAAATGACCATAAAGGGCTTTGTAAAGTGCCTACATATTTCTGGAAATCCATAAGGCCACAAAGATGTAGAGGGTTGTACATATATCCAAGAATGATATGAGAAGGGGGTAATCTTCCCCCTCTCCCCGATTTAGAGGCTCCGTACTAGCAAGAATTGAAGGCTAAAGTAGAGTTGTAATCCTACTGGCAGGAGTTAAATATGTGTTATTGAACACATGAAGAATGCCTGGCCAAGGCTGGGAGACTTACTGGATCAAGAGATTTAGAAAAATCTTGGTCCAATAATTAGCCGACCACTAAGCCAAACAACCAGAGACTTCAGTGGCCGTACACAACAGAATATATAATTTTCAGATTTAGTCCAAAATAATGATTAAGCAAACAAACATCAGCAATGATTTCTTGCTGGGAGGGCACTAGTTGTGGGAATATTCAATTACATTTATAGAATTGAAACATTATTTTGTTTAAAATATCGAGTTCTTAAGAAAAGTTACAAAATGTGCAAAGTAACAGACAGGTATGACCAATACACCGGAAAAAAAGTAATCAATAGAACCTGTTCCTGAGGAAGCCCAAATATTGGACTTTAGAAAGATGTCAAATCACCTATTATATGTATATATATAAAGAACTAAAGAAAATAATGTATAAATAATTAAAGAAAAGTATGACAATGATGTATCAAAAGAGAAAATATGAATAAGGAGATAGAAATAGTAAAAGAGAACCAAATGGAAATTCTGAAGTGGGAAAGTATAATACCTAAAATTAAAAATTTAATAGAAATGCTCTAGAACAGATTTGATTTGGCAAAAGAAAGAATTAGTGAATTTGAAGATAGGTCAACTGAGAAAATTCGGTATAAAACACAAAGTAAAAAATGAGTAAAGTGACCAGAAATTCAGAGACATTAGGACACAATCATACTAATATGTACATAACAGAAGTTTCAAAAGCAGAGGAAAGTGGGAAAAGGACAAAAATAATATTTAAATAGATAAAACCCAACAAATTCTCAAATTGATTAAAAGTTTTAATAAATACATCCAAAAAGTTCAAAAAACTCCAAATAGGATAAACTCAAAGAGATTCACACCTAAACATACCATAATCAAACTGTCAAAACTAAAGATAAAGAGAATTCTTGAATACTACAAGAGAAAGATGATTTGTTACTTGATGATATTATAATAAGATCAGCATTAGGTTTCTCAGCAGAATCCATGATGGCCAGAAGGCAGTGTAATGATGTATTTAAAATGGTGAAAGAAAAAAGATTGTGAACCAGGAATTCTGTACCCAGTAAAACTATCCTTCATTAAGTAAAGAAGAAATCAGAACATTCCCAGATAAACAAAAACTAAGAATATTTGTCATTAGAAGATCTTTTCTACAAAAATACCAAGGAGTCCTTTGAGTTCAAATGAAAGGACACTAGATACTTACTTGAATGTATGCAAAGAAATAAAAAACATCAGCAAAGGTAGCTAGATAGATAAATATGAAAGAAAGTGTAGATATACTTTATAACTCTATTCTTTTTTCTGTATAACTTAAGGAACGACTTCATAAAGCAATAATTTAAAAATCATGTTCTTCAGATATTCTGAGTTCCTGGCATCTACACATGAAATTTAATATTAGTTTGTCAGTTTCTACAGAAAAGCCAGCTGGGGTTTTGGTAGGAATTGCTTTGGATATATAGATCAATTTGAGGTACAGTCCCATCTTAAGAATATTAAATCTTTTGGTCTATGAGGTATCTTTCCATTTATTTGGGCCTTCTTTAATTTCTCTCAGCAATATTTTGTAATTTTCAGAGTAAAAGTTTTGCATTTCTTTTGTTAAATTTATTCGTAAGAGTAATATCCTCTTTATGCTATTTTAAGTGGAACTGTGGTTTTAATTTCCTTTTCTATTGTTCACTGCTACAACTGATTCAGAACAGTTTTATAGGAATAGTTTTAATCACTGTTTAGGTAACTTGTATAACAGGTTTGGTTTTAGGAAAGAGAAAAGTAGACTCATTCAACTTTTTATAGTTACCATGACTAATGCTGCTAAAATTAGAAATGTTTTTGCCAAACCACAATTTTGGAAGAGGAGATCTGAGATAGATAACCATGTAAATATTTCAATACTGGAATACGTTTTTTATGAGGGTTGATAAGATCTTACCAGATGATTCCATGGGTTTGCAGACAAAGAAATTGGTAGAAATTCAATTCAGATTCTTGGAAAATGCAGTTGCTCTTTGACAGAACTCAATGAGAATTTTGAAGTAAACTATGAGAACTCTGATACCATTTGGTAGAAGGTAGTTCTATGAATTTTGGTTTTAAAACTTTGCTATCATCAGAATAAAACATTTTGAATTCATTAAACAAATTGAATATACTGTATATACTTTCAGCTTCCCATATAAGCCAAATAACAGCAGCTGTCTATTGAAATTAACTTTTATGAAGAAATAAAGTTTATATTTGGTTTTGCTTGTGCAACTTACTAAAGTTGTTTACAGGAAGTGAGTGTTATTTTGCACAAAAAATTAGAAAAAGAGGATCAGACTTTTATTCAGCATTGTCTCTATGGTTTATATAGATAAAATCACCAAAGCATAAACATTAAATGTATGCATATTTTGTATGTATATGTTCATGTGTCTGTCATCTGCTTTTGAAAAGGTCCCAAATATCTAATAAATTAGAAACCATTGTTATATAAAATGGTTTAAATAATTCAATTTAGGCTTCAAGGACAAGTGTGTACTTTCATTTTAGAATTATTGATTTGTATTTTTTCTTTTTCATTCTATACTCAGTTGCTTGCTCAAAATCTATATTTAATTATTTAATAAAGTTGCAAACTTAACATTTCCAATATTGTCTCCTGATTTACTCCTACTAAAGATGTTCCTCCCACAGTTTCCCTCATCTCGATTACTGACAGCTCTTTGCCTCTAGTTGCTCAGGAGAAAAGCCCTAGTCATTCTTGAATCTGGTTTCTCATACCCCACGTTCAATCTACCTGAACACTGTGTTACTTTCTTTACAGTGACTGTCTCATTTAGTGCTAACAAACCTATGCAGTAGGTATTATTTCTACATTTAAATAAATAAACATTAATAAAAGACAACCATAATCATAGCATTTACTATGTACCAGGTACTGCTCAAGACATCTTACCTATAATAGCCCAAATTATCCTACTAGTAACTCTATATGGTTGTTACAATTATCATATCCATTTTACATGTGGAAAACCCAAGGAATACAAGGCCAAGTATCTGTCCAAATTCTCATAATTAGTAAGTGTAGGAGCCAAGTTTCAAACCCAAACATAGTACACTAAAATACCTCAAGCACTTGCAACTCTAAAGAGGAAGTTTTAGAAAAAGTTCCTAAATGAAATACTTCATAATTAACAGATACTAAATGTATAGGATTTTATTTTCCTTTCCTTACCGATATCCAACACACATTTATAGTTTTCCATACGTGCCAAATATTAATGCAAAAAGATGACTCCAGTGTGTTTATTGCCCAGAGAAAGATCATAATCACATAGGAGAAGAGAGAAGAAATTAAAAAATGAATAAATGAATGAAGTTGTTGTCATTAAAATATGAAATATATGAGTATTTTGCACATATTATAAGATGGAATGCTAAATGTATTGCAACAATCACTTGTGATACACAAATAAGTGAGTAAAATAGAAATAAAGTATTCAGGCTGGGCAGGGTGGCTCATGTCTGTAATCCCAGCACTTTGGGAGGCTGAGGCAGCCAGATTGCTTTGAGCTCAGGAGTTTGAGACCAGCTTGGGCAACATAACAAAACCCCATCTCTATAAAAAATATAAAAATTACCCTGGCGTTGGTGGCTCTAAGTAAGTCTTTAGAAACATTTTATTTTCTTTTCCACTAAGAAACACAAACTGCATCTACAAGGTATGTATGATAGAAAATGAAATTAAATGAAAGGTCTGAAAGATGCGTTTTGAACTAAACAAAATACAACTTTAGATTTTAGGGGTATATGAATACATTGCATTTTTCTTACAGAGCATTTGGCAGATAAAATCCAGTTTGTAAATTGCATAATTGTAATGGTGTTATATAAGATGTTAAATATATTAATTGCGACAGAGTATTTAACCAAAGTTCTTTCTCTTTTTCACAGAAACAAGTCACGTGCAGAGAAAAGGTAACAACTGATAGATAAAGATATTTTGAAACATGGGTCTTAAATATTTACAGAGTTTAGAAAAGAATTATTTTTAATTCTCAACTGCACAATGTTTAAGGCTTCTCAGATTATTTAAGTTATTGATATTTACCTCTGTTTCTATCAAACATGCAGTAGAGAAAATAAGAGAAATTGTTCAAAAACTATTCTCTATAAGGAAGTTCATTTTAGTAGCAAGTACATCTTGCTGCTTGAATACTTCCTTTTAAATGAACTCTTGATGATGTAAAAGAACAAGATTTATCCTTAAAGATGTAAAAGAACAGTCCAGTAGAATAAAGTACATGTGTTTTCTATGTAAATTGCAAAGATGAAAAACATTTTACTTCATGGCATTAAAGTCACAGGTCAAAGTCAAGAGTTTATTGCCAATTTAGAGGAAAATTTCTTTTCAATGACATATGGCATGACCTTCAACTTCTACTAGTTGTGGAATGGTTAAGGTCATCTCTTCGTACATTCAGAAAATCCAAATGATGTACATGACAAATGGTAGAGTCTATCGTAACTGATTTCTGGGGCAAACACAGTAAAATATTGCACAGTGGGATGAAAGGTTATTGACCTTATGATATTATGTCTGACACTAATCATTATTTACCAATTGAACTATTTGAAAGGATAGTTAATATTTTGTTTGTTATTTTTTCTGATCGTTTATAAGAATTGGAAAGGCTCTGCCCCTCCCTGCACCCCACTAAATGGAATACAGCTATTTCTGTTGGGATTTTGTCAACTAAGGACAAGTTTTAATGAACAAAAGAGTGTTTTAATTTACTTTCTTTCAATGCAGTTTTTCTTTTTTGCCTCAGTTTTAGTCAGAATTTTTTTTAGCCTCACACAATGGGAAAAAATACGAACCTTCATGAAGAGTTAAAATTTCAGGTTAATACTTTATCATCCAGAAAGAAAAATAAATACTGAGTATTCACTCTTTATATACTAAAACTATCCTGATTTTTTTTTAAGAAAGCCTCAATAAACACTGATTTAGACATGCTTCATCTATCTCGTCTCTAAAATGTGCTCTATTTCTGGGTTCTGTAGCCCTGCCAGTGGGATTTTTTTCTCTTTCCCTAAGTTGACATGTTCTCACCTATTGTCCTTTCTCATACTCTCCAGAAGTCCAATTGCCAATTAACAACTGCTACCCAGAGATTTTCTCATAGCACATTGGACTAAGGCTATTGTCCTTTTTCACTATATGGCCCATTCATTATAGGACTTTGGCTTCTTTTTGTATTTTGAAACCTTAATACATCTAAGCACCACATATGCATTCATCTGCTGTTCTTTTTATGTAAACCATGGTCTAAATTTCTCCGCACTAAAAATGCATTAGAGATCATCATTTGAATTTGCTTTAGGCAACTGGAGATATGACAAGAAAGAAGCACTAAATAAATGAATTTGCCCAACTGTTAAACCTATGAGGGGCAGGCAATGTGTATCCCATGCACTATTCTCCAAGTCTTCTTGACATGATCTAAAGCAGTAAACTTGAGCACCCAGAGTATCTGTGTAACCTAGGAAAATGGGCTCACTCTGGGCCCACTATTCGTGGGACTGCAGATAGAAAGAATCCTAGAAGCTGTAGTTGCAAAATAAAATTCTTCTATATCTTTCATTATGCAAGGTTTGTCTTAAGTTATTCTATTATTATTACTTTTGTTGTTATTATGTCTATTTTCAGGTTTGTTACTTTGCCTATACTATTACTCTACTAATATTTCTATTATTCTAGAATCAACCTTGCTATGCCCCTAACTTTGAAGCAACAAAGGAAAGTTTTCTATTTTAAAAATAGAGATGTCTCTATAATAGGCTGTAAAATGGCCCAAATGTGAGACCAAATGTCATGAAGAACTTTCCAGGTAACTTTGGCTTAAGAGCTGTAAGAAGTTGCGCATCATCACTAGCCAGTGAAAGTAAAGCACAGAGTATTTATGAGAATATGATAAAAACCAGGCTAAAATCCTTTCTTAGGAAAGCTCACAAGAAAGGAACTCAAAATGTCTGGCTCCCTTTTTAGGAAAAGTGTTCCAAGAACAGAAATGTCCCAGGCCAGGAAACAACCTATTCCCATCACTTTTTTAAAGATACATCCTAGTCTGCCTTCTTTCCTTTACAGCATCGTTTACCCATGTAGGATATTTTGAAAAGCATCCATCTCTCTAAAATGCTTTTTTCCTAATAAGTTATTTAACCTATTGAAATAATTATTTTAAATGGTAAACTAGGACATTGATGATACTGAGGCAGTTTTCTTGTAGAAGGGATGACTGGGTTGTCATTGTTTTGGGAAAATAAGAGCAATTCCATTGTTCTTAAGAACGGATAATTTAGTATATAATAAAAAAGGCGTATTAAAAAACTAAAAAGCTAAAAATGGTATGTTCTTCAAAAGTTGGTCTATAACTAACTTTATTCACTTCTTCACCATGAAACAAACAAAAATTTCCCTTCTCCTCATACATAAACATCCTCATAAAAAAGTGCAGTTTCTAGTCTGCATTTTTCTGAATCTGTCTCAAGGAAGGTGAGTTTCAAACGAGTACCTTAACAAAGGAAACACTCGCATTTCCTCATCTATGTGGTATTACTTGTATTTTATGAATGCCTTACAAACAATCAGTTCTTTCTTTTTTGGAGCCAGGCATCTATGAGACAGATCAGTTACTGAATTTAGAAGCACTACAGTTACTTGTAGAGTCCCTGCATTTCTCGGGGTTATCCAGAAAAATAGAACCAAGAGTATGTATATATATATATATATACAAGCCCCATGCACACATATACAAAAGAGTGTGTGTGTATATATATAGAGAGAGAGAAAGAGAGAGAGGAGATTTATTATGGGAATTGTCTCATGAGATTATGGAGACCAAGAACTCCAAAATTAATTTGGGACAAATAATTGCAAACCAAAGCTTGAGGTTGCATGTCTGATTGAGAACTGTGATGGTTAATTTTATGTGTCAACTTGAGTAGGCTATGGGATGTCCAGATAGCTGGTAAAATATTCTTTCCGGGTGTGTCTGTGAGGGTATTTCCTGAAAAGATGATAATTTGAATAGGAAGACTAAGTAAAGAAGATCATATTCACTGGTGTAAGTGCACATTATCCAATCTGTTGTGGGCCTAAATAGAACAAAACGGAAGAAGAAGGGCGACTTTTTTCTGTCTCTATTTCAGCTGAGACTGGGACATCCATCTTCTCTTGCCCTCAGACATTGACATTCCTGATTCTTCAGCCTCCGGACCCAACCGTAGACCCTCCTCCACTATACCTAGTCTCAGGTCTTTGGATCAGGAGTTACACCATCAGCTTCCCTTGTTCTCAGGATTTTGGACTTGGACTAAATTACAACCACCAGCTTTCCTAGTTCTCCAGATTGCAGACTGTGGGAGTTCTTGGTCTCCATAATCTCATGAGCCAATTCCCATAATAAATCTCCTCTCTGTCTTCTCCCCCCTCTCTCTATATATACACACTGTTGTGTATATATGTATGTATATATATACACACACAGACACACACACACTTGGTTCTGTTTTTTCTGGATAATCCCGAATAATGCAGGAACTCTACTAGTGACTGTAGTGTTTTTAAATTCAGATGGTACCTTAAATTATAGATAGAAAAGCTCAGATCCAAAATCTTAAGTTATTACTCTCAGGTCATAAAATAAGTATGTCACAAAGCTGAAAATAAAACCTGAAATACTGATTCTTGGATTGGCACTCTAGCCTCCAGTGTATCACTCTGCTTTTCCAACCTCAGTTGACCAAATTCTCCCTTAGACTGTCTTACACAAACCTATTGTTTTATATATTAAAATGAGGAAATAATTTTTTAGTTTTGTTTTGTGTATACAAGCAATACAGTAATTCTTTTTATCTCCATTTCTAAGGTATTTAACCTGAGTCTTTATGGAATTTCCCAGGCCACATCTCCCATCAAATTCTCGACTATGAATTTCTAAGGAACTATAGACTTTTATACTACAAGTAACAAACCTACGTTCAAAGACAGAAATAACTTCTGCAAATTAATAAGGAAAGAAAATGTCAGAATCTGGGCATATTTCATGTGTTGTGATGGTGCCAATCTCATGGACTGTCTACTCCTGGTTTGGTGTGCTCTTACAAGAAAAGTGTCAAAACCTTGGTCAAGTGCAATGCACAGGAGTTGCATCCACGACAGCAGTTAGTCAGAAAGAAAAGGTATTATCCAAGGATGCTACAATATAGTATCTTTCCACTTGAATTAATCATTTTCAGAAAATAAGACTAAAAGTACTGTTAAGAAGCAACAAGGGCAAAAGGGAGATTTACTGCTGATCGAAATGGACTAGTAATCTTTGTTCATCCTCATAAAAATCATGCAGTGCAGCAGGGGGGAGAAATTAAAGAAGCATTTAGAAGGCCAGTGGCAATGGTATATCATTGTAAAGACAAAAGAATGAGAGCATATTAGGTGAACCATAGCACCAAAGAAAGAGAAGTAGGTGCCTGCTGTCCTCCTTTGATCTTACCTTATTCATCACGGCAAACTTGTCTATGTAATATACGAAGTTTCTCCTTACAGGAAAAGAAAAATATTTTGAAAGAGACATATAAAATCTTCTTGTGCAATTCTTTATGTATATGTAAAAATATATTTCTGCCAGAATTGGAAGATGAATCATATTTGTAGTATTTGCTAAAATGTAAAAATTTTGTTGACAACAGAGTTGACAACAGAGATACATGCTTTAGATTACTTTTGTGGTAATGCTTGACAAAATTTTCTATAGAGATTTTAGTTTCTATCGATATTTTAACCTTTCTGATGTGCTTTCATGCCCTTTTCTCCATTCATTTATTTGTTTACAGATATTTGTGAAATGGCTGCTGTGGCTGGACTCTGTCCTAGATTCTGGTGACGCATTGGTGAATAAGTCAAACCTTGCTCTGACTGTTGGAAGCTTATATTTTCATGGTGGAAAGACAAATAATGAACAACTAAATAAACAAGATGTTTTTAGAGAGTGACAGAAGAACTAAAATCAGGTTGGTAAGAGTGTAAGTTCCTATTAGGAGCTAATCGAAAGTGGTCTGGGAGGATCACTGTGATGAGGGGACTCTAGAGTGAGAAGGAGCTAGCCAGGGGGAAGATTATTATTAATTTCTTTTAAGCACTCTGAGAGGTATTTTGACCCTGTGCTGATGCACCTATTTTACGAAATAGGAACATGAGACACAGAGAGAATAGCTGACTCCCCTAGGGAGCACAGTGCATTAATAGCATAGCCAAGGCTAAACCCAGGCCTTCTCATTTTTCTATAACCATGTTTAAAATATGAGAAATACATGGTAGATTAAGATTTATAGTATTATGGATTGGTAAAATAAATGTAAAATAAAATATTCATTATTCTGGAGTGATGTATATTTTTCTCACTCAGTGTTATTGGATTTGTTTTCTGTGTTTTTTGTTTGCTTTAGTGCAGCTTATGTCTGTTTGTGTATTATGAACCAGTGCTTTAGAGTACTCATTTCTTTAAAAAACTGTTAGTAAACTTAAATTAGCAATTATGTATGTTTAAAAGTACATATTTTACCAATAAAGAGAAGGATTTCAAATAGTTTTATATTAGCAGGAT
Source organism: Homo sapiens (assembly GCF_000001405.40). NCBI lineage: Eukaryota > Metazoa > Chordata > Mammalia > Primates > Hominidae > Homo > Homo sapiens. The sequence continues at coordinate 91,795,750 of NC_000005.10, forward strand.
TCAAGAGTGAAATACATATACTTTTCTTCCCAGGCCCTTGTGACCATTTTCTAAACTTCTGTATTTTAGGAATCCCCCACTAAAGATAAAACTGCCAGACACTCAGTCTCCCAGCATCCCTTCTGGCTTGTCTAGGACAATTGGTGGCATCACCCCATATTCTGAGTTAGGAACTAGAAAACAAATGAGCAAGGGTGAGAATCCATTTTCAGGATCGATGGTGGCCTAGCAACAACATCATTCATATTTCAGGGGCATCAGAGAAGGCAGGGTCAGTGCCATGCAGAGTGCCCAGAGCCAGCTACAGCGGCAGTGCAGGGGTAGCATCTGGTACTCATGGGCCAGGAGTCTTCTCTGAGGTTTGGATTTTGGGGTATGACTTTGCTGCTGCTCTTGCTCTTGCCTAGCTGTTTTTGGTTTGTCCATTTCTGAGATGCTTATCAGACTGTGAACATGTCAATGTAATATCAGTAAATGTCTTCTCTGGTTAAATAGGTCAGAAGTGCTTTCTGTTGCTTGTAACATTCAAATCATGTCTAGATACAGCTTCTCTGAATAAAATTATATGTGCATATATATACACACACATATATATGTATGTATATAGGTACATATATGTGTATGTATATAGGTACATATATATGTATGTGTGTATATATATATAAATATATATGTATATATAAAAATATATATATGTATAACAGATATTACCTTTATTAGAAATCTCAGATTGGAGCTAGGTCAGAAGACAAATATATGAAATTTAAAATATCTCCACAGGAAAATTCTGCTCCTATTGAGAACCTCTGGAATTTTAAATTCATTGAGTCCTAAGGCAGAAATCAGTGGTGGGGGAGGTGGGGGGTGGGGTGAAGTGAAATAAACATTTGGTTGAATTTTGTCTTTTGTGGGTACAAGATTCTGAGCATTATGGAAATACATTTTGCAAACACAATTGAGGGAGCCTGAGAATCACGGGAGATGCCACATATATAAACAAAGCCAATCTGTTACAAATTAATCTTAAACATATATAAAAACATATGGATAAAACACTTTTCAAAAAAAGTTTTAAAATATTTATAGTATATGTTTTGTGAAAATTATATTGAACAAATAAGAGCGAATTTCTTTAACCAATCTTTTTCTACTGGTTTTAGTCTCTACATTCACAGAGTCTCATATTTGGAGGAAACAATAAAGCCCCCCAATAAACTAAAAGTAAACAAACAAACAAACATAACCACCCTATCTCTAAAAGAAACAGAGGAAATAAAAAGCCTACTAGCCATATCCTGAATGGTGAAATGCCCCAAATTTGCAAACATATTACATAAGTGAAATATTAGTGCCGAAGTGTGAAATGGCTTGCATTTCTTTAATAATTTTCTGCTTAGGAAGAGTGGGTGACTTTTTGAGGTGAAAAATAAAGATTTTATTTTTCAAAAGCATATAAACCATAAACTCAAATTAAATTAGCAAAATATGTGCTTGCCATTTTTATAGGACGTCATCAGGCACAATTTTTGACTTGCTCTATCTGCATGCTATGACTATTACACCAGTTGGCATAGGATTTTACTTCAAGAAGCTAACAGATAATTAACCATCTGAACAGCCTCGTGAGTGGCTCTCTTACTTGTATTGGAGAAATTATATATGCAGATGACATTGCAACATTGTCATTTCTACCTCATTACTATTTCTTGTTTCTTTATTTATATTTCCGGTCCTGGGTGATAATGATTTGTCATTCAATATAGTAACCATCATCCTTTAAGATCCCAGTATAAAGCACAAGTATAAACTCAGCCTTATTTTAAAATGTAACACACAATTATGCTGCTATCAAAGAGTTTAGTGAAATGTTCTTGTGATGCATTACAAATATAAACATTCCATTGTTTCAGCAGAATTGAGGCTCATATAAAAACAGAGGGCACTTGGCAGACAGGTATCAAAGTTTAGGCATAATTAATATCCTTCTCTGACCCACAGGTCAAGAACTAGGCTTACATCAACACTGACTAATTTAGATTAACAAAGGTTTATCAAGCAAGCAGCAGGGGATCCATTGGAATGCCATAAATAACTGAATAGTGTTATATGGAATCAAGAGGATATCGACTGAGTTGCTGTCCTGGGAACACTGGCGTGGCTTCTAATTTTCTTCAGCACTGCTCTATAATAGGACTACCCTGCATGTGTTTCCAGATGGTGGTTTTTCCTGAGTGCCAAAGTTAAGTCAATGCCACTAGGGAAAGTGGGAGAGGGCTAAGGAAACTGTCCTACTATCCACATTTAGGGAATTCTAACTGAAGGAATGATTTCATCTCTCAGCATCTCTTAGTGACTTAATATTCAAAAATTTTAACTGATATTGTTTCATTTACCACAAGATAGAAATTCCAGCAATGTAAATTAGTTATTAATAAGTCCTAGATTTCATTGTTAAAAAGTTAAATTTAATGATTCTACAGGGAATACATTTAAAGGAACAAAGTAAAAGTGAGAAGAAGTAATAAAACATAAAATTCAGTGTTTTAGCTCATGTCTTTCAAAAGCTTTATAGACCTAATTCCAACACTTTGCAATTGTTCTTGTGTACCTCTTGTCCCCCCTTCCAAGTTTCTCACACTCCTCATTGACTCAAAACCTGTTATTTTCCAAGTCCCATCCAAATCATCTCTAATCCTAGTTTTGGAAGACCATTTTCATCTTCCTCCTGACCTCCCTCCCGTTCTTTGTCTCTTGTGATTTTATTATGTCAGCTTCACCTATAGATAGGCTTTTTCTCCTGTCCACATCAAGCCTCTGTGGTTCATTCCTTCTCTGCTGGCTCTCCATTTCACCTTTTTAAAAGTCTAGGAATTAGCTTGACTGAGAAAACTTCTCTATAGAAGGTAGAGAAAGGTGGAGGAAAGTTAACTGAGAAGACAATTAAGACTGGTGTGAGATGATAGAAATGTTGTGATGCCATGAAAGGGAAGGATGTTTTGATTTTCTTTGGTTGTTTGAATATCTGTCACTTACCATCTTGTATATAGTTTTGCTGCTCTAATTTCAGTATTGATTTTATAAATCCCAACTTTCATTTTGTTTTTCATAGCACAACAAAAGAAGTTCCCTGAACTTTGAACAGTAAAGTCAAATTACATGGAAACCAAATGTCTATAGGTCTTTATAATCCTAAATTATGTGTTACTCAAGAAATGGCATAATTAATGCAACCTAGGTAATTGTACAACATGTGCATGCCTTAAGAGACCTGGATTCTCTAGTACTATGCTCTCCATGTAAATGCCCGAGTTTTATGTTGCTACTTACATTCAGATTTATAGAAGCAACCTGAGAAAAATCTAAGTGAAGGCTGTATCATATTAATTTCCTCTCAGTGAATATCCTATGGATTTTCCTAAAATATCAGTATGTACATTTTGACATATTTGAATATATAGCTCTGTAGTAGTCCATTCTCATGCTGCTAATAAAGACATACCCAAGACTGGATAGTTTATAAAGGGAAGAAGTTTCATTGACTCACAGTTCAGCATGGCTGGGGAGGCCTCAGGAAATGTACAATGATAGCAGAAGGGGAAGCAAATGCATCCTTCTTCATATGGTGGCAGGAGAGAGAAGTGCAGAGCAAAGGGGCGTGGGAGGGAAGACCCTTATAATACCATCAGATCTCATGAGAACTCACTATCATGAGAACAGCATGGAGGTAACCATCCCCATGATTCAATTACCTCCCACCGGTCCCTCCCTTGACACGTGGAGATGATGGGAACTCCCATTCAAGATGAAATTTGGGTGAGGACACAGCCAAACCATATCATTCCACCCCTGGCACCTCCCAAATCTCATGTCCTCATATTTCAAAACCAATCATGCCCTCCCGACAGTACCCCAAAGTTTTAACTCATTTCAGCATTAATTCAAAAGTCCACAGTCCAAGCCTCATCTGAGACAAGGCAAGTCCCTTCTGCTCATAAGCCTACAAAACCAAACGCAAGTTAGTTACTTCCTAGATGCAATGAGATACAGGCATTTGGCAAATATAATCATTCAAAACTGGAGAAATTGGCCAGAATGAAGGGGCTACAGGACCCGTGCAAGTCTGAAATCCAATAGGATAGTCATTAAACCTTAAAGTTCCAAAATGATCTCCTTTGACTCCATGTCTCAGATCTAGGTCATGCTAATGCAAGAGGTGGACTTACACAGCCTTGGGCAGCTCCACTGCTATAGCTTTGCATGATACAGCTGCCTCCCAGCTGCTTTCATGGGCTGGCATTGAGTGTCTGTGGCTTTTCCAAGCACATGGTGCAAGCTGTTGGCAGATCTACCATTCTGGGGTCTGGAGGACAGTGGCCCTCTTCTCACAGATCTGCTAGGCAGTACCCCGGTGGGGACTCTGTGTGGTGGTCCCAACCCCACATTTCCCTTCTGCACTGCTCTAGCAGAGGTTCTCCATGAGGACCCTGACCACGAAGCAAACTTCTGGCGGGACATCAAGGCATTTCCATATATCCTCTGAAATCTAGGCGGAGGTTCCCAAACCTCAATTCTTGACTTCTGTGCACCCACAGACTCAACACCACATGGAAGCTGCCAAGGCTTGGAGCTTATACCCTCTGAAGCCATGGCCTGAGCTGTACCTTGGCTCCTTTTAGCCACGGCTAGAGCAGCTGGGACACAGAACATCTAGTACCTAGGCTACACGTGGCAGGGGGCCCTGGATCCAGCCCAGGAAACCATGTTTCTTTCCTAGGCCTCTAGGTCTGTGATGGGAGGATCTGCCATGAAGGTCTCTGACTTGCCTTGGAGACATTTTCCCCATTGTTTGGTGATTATCACTGGGCTCCTTGTTATTTATGTGAATTTCTGTAGCCAGCTTGAATTTCTCGCCAGAAAATGGGTTTTTCTTTTCTATCACATTGTCAGGCTACAAATTTTCCAAACTATTTTTTTTTTTTTTGAGACAGTATCTTGCCTATCACCCAGGCTGGAGTGCAATGGTGCGATCTCGGCTCACTGCAAGCTCTGCCTCCTAGGTTCACACCATTCTCCTGCCTCAGCCTCCCGAGTAGCTGTGACTACAGGTGCCCACCCCCACGCCCGGCTAATTTTTTGTATTTTTAGTAGAGATGGGGTTTCACCATGTTAGCCAGGATGGTCTCGATCTCCTGACCTCATGATCCACCCATCTCAGCCTCCCAAAGTGCTGGAATTACAGGCATGAACCACCATACCTGGCCTAAATTTTCCAAAGTTTTATGCTCTGCTTCCTCTTGAACACTTTGCCATTTAGAAATTTCTTCCACTAGATCCCCCAAATCATCTCTTTCAGTTTCAAAGTTCCACATATCTGTAGGGCAAGGGCAAAAAGTCGCCAGTCTCTCTATTAAAGCATAACAAGAATCACCTTTGCCTCCCAATGAGTTCCCAATGAGTTCCTCATCTCCGTCTGAGACCACTTCAGCTTGGACTTTATTGTCCATATCACTATCAGCATTTGGTTAAAGCCATTCAACAAGTCTCTAGGAAGCTCCAAACTTTCCCACATCTTCCTGTCTTCTGAGCACCCCAAGTCTCTAGGAAGTTCCAAATTTTACCAGATTTTCCTTTCTTCTTCTGAGCCCTCCAAACTGTTCCAACTACTGTCTGTTACCCAGTTCCAAAGTCACTTCCACATTTTTGGGTATCTTTACAGCAGCGCCCCACTCTACCAGTACCAATTTACCATATTAGTCCATTCTCAAGCTGCTGGTAAAGACATACCAAAAACTGGGTAACTTATAAAGGAAAGAGGCATAACTGATTCACAGTTCAGCATGGCTGGGGAGGCCTCAGGAAACTTAACAGCCATGGTGGAAGAGGAAGCAAACATGCCCTTCTTCATGTGGTGGCAGGAGAGAGAAGTGCAGAGTGAAGGGCAGGGTGGGGGAAGCCCCATATGAAACCATCAGATCTCATAAGAACTCATTATCATGAGAACAGCATGGAGGTAACAATCCTTATGGTTCAATTACCTCCCACCAGACACATGGGGATTGTGAGACCTACAATTCAAGATGACATTTGGGTGGGGACACAGCCAAACCATATCAAGCTCATTAGGCACTATGATAATTTTAGCTTTCAGAGTTTGAGACTCTAAAAAATTGAAAATCCATACCTTTGGATTTATGCTTCAGGTTAAACTAGTGCCAGTACCAGTGGATAAAGTTAGGTAATAGTTCTTGGCCAAGAGTGATTTTGTCCCTCCTCCCCTACATAAAAGACATTAGGCAATACTTGATTTTTTCAATTCGATGGGTGCTATTGGCATCTACTGAGGAAAGGCCAGGAATGCTGCTAAAAAGCTTACAATGAGCAGAACATCTCCCAAACAATTATCATATCTAAAATGTCAATGATAGTGACAAGGTTGAGAAACCCTTGATCAAATATTTGTGAAGTGGTATTACCAAGTTTTTTTCTCTAGGCCTTTGACAGCAGCCAAGATGTGACTTCATGATATGCTGCTCAGCACTACTTGTATAGCTTTTGCTGAGACATAGGTTTTTAAAAAAATGTATCTTTTAGGCATTATATCATAATACAATCCAAGAGAAATTTAGTTAAGAACATTCTGACAGTGGCAGGAGGCAGTCAAATGCCTAGGCAGATGGGGGAGGGTCCCCGGTAAAATCCCACCTTCAAACCAAAGACAGCTTAAAGCCTATAAGCCAAGCTACAAGTTCTGGGTAAATCCACAGGCCAGATTGAGAACCTCGCTTCCCATTTGGTGCACTTTCCTCTGACTGATCCCCACCCTTCACCTATTTTACATATACCTACTCTTCCCTGACTGGTTTTCACACTGTCATGTCCACCTTTGAGTGGTGCCTTTGTTTTAGCCTTTTTTGCCTACTCACAAGCAAATCAGCATGCACTCTCCCATTCTGGGCCCATAAAAGCCCCAGACCCAGCCACACTGGGAGACTGACCACACAACTTTAGGTGGGGGACTACCCTCACATCCCCTCTCTGCTGAAAGCTGTTTCATCACTCAGTAAAACTCTTCTCCTCCCTCCTCACTCTTCATCAGTGTAACCTCATTCTTCTTTGATGAGGGACAAAAACTCAGGACCCACCAAACACAGGAATTACAAAGAAGACTGTAACATTGTGGCCCTTTGCCCTCTGCTGGTGAAGGGCACTCACCCCATGTGATGGGAAGCAGTGGTGGGGCCAATCTATTCTCGGAGCCATGGGCCAGAGTGGAGTGATGGGACTGACAGAGCTGTTAACACACTGCTGTCCATGAGGCTGTGGATGACAGGACTAAAAGAGCTATTAGCATGCTGTAGCACCCTCTCTGGGGCTTCAGGGTTGTGGGCTTCCTTGTTTGGGTGCCACCATATTTCCCTTGTCTGGACACTGGAGTCTACCATGGGAGTCACTTGTGACATGCCTGGTCCAGCCACAAGCCCTGCACAGAGCCTGCTCCTGTGCCAGCACTTGCAGTGACCAGCCAGACCTCACAATAGCTCACCCACACATCCCCTGCAGCCAGGGGCTGAGTGTGCAGTTGCAGCATCTGTGGGATCTGCACTGGAGCACAAGCCAAGCTTTGCCTGGCAAGCCAAGCTGGTGGGATGCCTCCTGTCATGAACCCGGGGCCAAGTGAGACCTGGGCAGGAGCATTGCTGACTGGAGGTCTCTGGCTGGCAAAGTGGCTAAGAAAAATCCTGTGTCATTTCTACTTCAATTATGATGGGTAATAAATATCAATTTTAATATTATTTTTGATTTTGATAAGAATACTTCTTATGCAAATGCTATTCTGTATCCCTTTTTTTAGCTCCAATGTTATTCCAACATACCTTAGTGATAAATACTGTGAGTAAACATTAATCTAAGTTTCAGAAAGGCTCTGAGCATGCATATATTGACAAAGGATTCTAAAATGCTTTAGGTTATTATTTTTATCCAACAGATTAGGTTTTGACTTTTAATATTTGTTCAAAAAGTATAAAACATTGGAAAATTAACTGTTAATTTATTATAATTTTTAAATGCTTTTCCACAAAGTATTTACTCTTTCAAATATAGACTTAGAGTTTTTTTTTTTAAGTTCTGCAATTGAATCAAAATACTGATAATAAAGTCTTACTTTGTATTTTCTCCACTAAAAACTTATTTAAATATTATACTTTGCATATGTGGGTATGTAAAATAAGCTTTTATTGATCATGTATGGTTACTATAAATAGTTTAATTCAATTTTTTGAATTATAGAATGAAAGTCTAATTGGAATTACAAAAGTTCAGCTTCTGAATTGAAGTCCCCTATACAATTGAGTTTGATTTTAAATATTTATTGAGCATCTTGCATGTATAAAGCATCATATAACATGTTATATATCTACAAATAATCTACTTAGTCATTTCCATCACAGATCAGAAATGCTTCATATTAGGTGTTTCCATTAAGATGTAGTAAGCCACAAGATAACAACAAAACAAAACCAAATCAACATAATATATAAAAATCATAATTTGAGTAAGGCATTAAACAGCTGAGATTAGAAAGCAACCAAATGAGCTGATTTCCAAAGGGTGACAAGACTTTCCAACAGAGAAGGTTCACACAAACTGTTTCATATTTGGCAGAGAATGGGTGAAAGGAGAAGCCACCATAGAAGTGAGTAAGAAGAAAACAACAAAAATTTTAACAGATTCTTAAGAACTGAGTGTAGGCTAACATAACAGTGTAGAATCCCTGGGCACCTCAGGCATATGGGTAGTCCACATACATTTCTCCAGGTCTTTTTCATAGTATTCCATTGGGTGTCAATGAAAAAGTGGGAGCAAAGCAAAAGACTTGAGAAAGGACTATTTGGTGGTGCTCAAGCACCAACTTCAAGTACTTCCTGGAAGCGTTTGTCATTTAAAGGAGATGTCTTAAGTCTAAGCCACTGCAGAGGAGTCAGGAGACCCTCTGACTCCCAGGATGCAGGAAAACATCAACTTTTCCTGAGGCAGAGGTAGAAACAAAAGGAGTTTTAGCATACAGGATTTGCCTAAAACTGAGGTATGAGCAGAAGAACTAAGAAAATCCCTGGCTTCACCATTATACTTGTCCCAATTATCAAGCAACAGCAGTGTGACACTGAGGGAAAAAAATGTGGAAGAATGTAAGAAAAGACCACCTCTGTAGTACAGGAATGACTTGTCTTCTGAAAGCTTAAGGTGAAGCAAGAATGCTGAGAATGATCACCTGGCACCCCAGACCACCCAATAAGTACAAGAAAGCAGCAGCCCACTGCTGGAAAAAGTTGAAATCACTGCTATACTCTACCAATAACAAGAAAAATTATGCCAGTAACAAATCCCAAACCTAGCTCAACTGATGACTACATTGACTAGACCGCTGACACTGATAGCCTAACCAAAGAAAAGTCATGTCTTTTTTTGGCCATAAGTTCTATTTACTTTACTCTCTACTGCTCTTCTACACACAATTTCTAACATTAAAATAAAAATATAAGACACACACACAAAAGCAATTGGAAAAAAAATGACCCCTTGTCAAGAGATCAAACAGGCAACCAAACCAGAACAGACCCAGAGATGACATTTATTGGTCTCTCTGTATCAAGCACTGTGCTACCTACTTTATGAATGAGATATAATTTAATGCTATTTTTCCTGTATTATATCCGCATTATTTATAATCCATTATATATGTTACACATATGAAAAAACGTGTAAAGAGATAAAGACATATTCCCAATTCACAGAACTAGTATATGTTGGAATTAGGATTTAGATACAAGTCAGTACGTTTTCAGTGGCCAAATCAGTCATACAATCTTCCAAATATGGCAGTATAAGAAAAAGTAATTGAGCACAGAAATTTATTTATGAATTATTTCTTCATGTACTTTTAGAAAAAGATATATAATAGTTATTTTTTTTCTAAAAATAGAATTAGAAGAGGAAGAATGTTAGAGAATAACTTTCTATGTGCCATTTCATCTGCTTCTATATCAGATCTCAAGTTTTCTTACCTAAATATCTGCTTAGTGTTAAGAGATTCATGTCTATGGGTTATCTTGTTGAACAACGTCGATTAACTATTTAGGTATTTAAATATACAGCCTAGATAGTTCTGGCTGTGAGGGGAAATATTTTATTGGAAAATCTACTAGACTCCTGGGAATATTAAATTTTCAGACTTTCATTCTTTCCAAGGCAGCGGGTTCCAGAATGGAAACATTGTTTCAGGTTGGCAGGAGGTCTGTAAGACAGGTAAATATTTTCTCTTCACCCTACCACTAGACCAGTGGTCATATATAGAGACCATTTTTTATAAAAGTTGGAATAGGATATAAAAAGGAAACAAGAATATGAAAAAGGCCAAACACATTTTGGAAAAAGGTGCAAAAAAGACCAAACCTTCCAGTCAAAATTTAATGTTGGCCAGGCGCAATGGCTCACGCCTGTAATCCCAGCACTTTGGGAGGCCGAGGCAGGTGGATCACGAGGTCAGGAGATCAAGACCATCCTGGCTAACACGGTGAAACCCCGTCTCTACTAAAAATACAAAAAATTAGCCGGGCATGGTGGCGGGCGCCTGTAGTCCCAGCTACTACGGAGGTTGAGGCAGGAGAATGGCTGAACCTGGGAGGTGGAGCTTGCAGTGAGCCGAGATCGTGCCACTGCACTCCAGCCTGGGTGACAGAGGGAGACTCCGTCTCCAAAAAAAAAAAAAAAAAAAAAAAAAAAAAAAAAAAAATTAATGTTAAAACTCTCCCAATATTAGTGTATATGGTTAGTACAAGGGCTAACCAAAGGACTTGAGGAATCCAAATAATTTATACAGGTCTAGTATCCCTTATCTGAAATGCTTGGGACCAGAATTGTTTCAGACTTCAATTTTTTTCAGATTTTATAATATTTATAACTATGTAATAAAATATTTTGGGGATAAGACACATATCTAAACACAAAATTCATTCATGTTTCATATACACCTTATACATACAGACTGAAAGTAATTTTATACAATATATTTTTGTTTTCTTTTTCTTTTTCTTTTTTTTTCTCCAGACAGGGTGTCTTTCTATCCAGGCTGGAGTGTAGTGGCACAATCATAGCTCACTGCAGCTTTGAACTCCTGAGTTTAAGCCATCCTTCTGCCTCAGCCTCCTGAGCAGCTAGGACTACAGGCACGTGGCACCACACCCAGCTAACTTTATTTTTTGTAGAGGTAGGGTCTTGCTATGTTGCCCAGGCTGGTCTTGAAATCCTGGCCTTAAGCAATCCTCCCAACTTGGCCAATATATTTTAAATGTTGTGCATTAAGCAAAGTTTATGTTATATACTTATGTGTGGAATTTTCCATGTGTGGTGCCTTGTTGGTGCTCAAAAAGTTTCAGATTTTGGAGCATTTTGATTTTCAGATTTTAGGTTTGGGGTGCTCAACCTGCACGTAGTTGCTTGGAAGACCTTGGAGAAAGGATTCATAGGGTATTGGATGTCGTCAAGAGACAGATCATGAGGAGAAGATCTGTGTTAAAGCCACACAGATTCAGTTGCCCCCAAACATTTCATGAGAGGTTTGCCCCAAGTACCAGCTACATATAGTACCTGGATAATTGGTTCAGTTTTTTTTCATATTATAAACTAAGAAAAGAGGTGGCAATCTCCATTGCTTCAAGCCTGGCCAGCTGATTCTATCTCTCATAGTCCTAAAATCAATATTTTGGGCATCATAAATCCAATTAAATTAAATTTAGTTAATTTAATTTAATTCAAGATGGGATAATTATTATAATTATGAGAACTAAGAATTCATGAAAAGAGGACATATGAGGTTCGTGTAATACACTTTGTTACTTGCCTACAAATATCTATTGGTTACTTTCTACTTTGCCTATGGTTTCTATTTTCAGCCAACAAAAATGACCATAGTTGTTTTAGCTGATTATAATAGTTTATATCCTTGATGCCCAAAAACAGTTACCATTACCTGTATGGGACTTTTGAGCATTTAAAATGTAAACAGTCCAGATTAAGATATGCTGTAAGTATAATATCTCATCAGATATTGAAGAAGTAGTACAAAAACATTGTACAATTTATTATTCATATTATTCATGTATTATTTATTTATTTGTAGAAACAAGTTCTTGTTCTATCATCCAGGCTGGAGTGTGGTGGTGCGATCATAACTCACTGCAGCCTTAATCTCCTGTGCTCAAGTGATCCTACCACTTCAGTCTTCTTAGTAGCTGGGACTACAAGCACATGCCACCATTTCCAGCAATTTTTTTTCTTTTAATTTTAAGATGGCGTCTTGCTATGTTGCCCAGGCTAGTCTTGAACTCCTGGCCTCAAGCATTCCTCCCACCTTGGTCTTTCAAAGCAGGGATTGAGGGAGGGGGCACTGAGCCCAGCCTGTTGTTATTTTTAATAATTATTTATTGAAATAATAATATTTTGAATATATTGCATTAAACAAGTTACATTACTAAAATTAATTTTACCCGTTTTTACCATTTTAATGTAGGTATTATGGATTAACAATTACATATGTGGCTTGCCTTATATGTTTATTGGATAGTAGGTTTTGAGTTGTATATTTTGAAGAGTCAATTTTGCCTTCATTTTTGAATGAAGAAATGTTAAAAGAAGTCCTTCATGCAGAAGAAAAATAATATCAGATGGAAATATAAATCTACGTAAAGGGGAAGGTCATTAGGAATGATAACTACATGGGTAAATATAATTATTTATTGTTTAAAATTACTTTAGAGGGTAATTGACAGTTCAAAGGAAAAATAATGAATAATGAAAAATATTGTGGAGTTTATAAAATAGATGGAAACAAATATACGGCAATAAAACCAAGTCCAAGAGGGAGGTATGGTAGTTGAAGTATATTGTTTTAAGGTTTTTGTGCTCTATGTTAAGTGCTACATGACTACTTGAAGGTAGATTGTGATAGCTAAAGATGTATTTTATCAACTCTAAAGAAACCCATACAAATAGTATAGCTAATATGTCAACAAAGAACATAAAGTGGAATCATACAACATATAACATTAATCCAAAAGGAGGCAGGAGAGGAGTAGTACAAGGAAAACGTGATAATCACAGCACACAAATAGCTATTTGGTAGATTCAAACTAAAAATACCAGTAAAATCTTAAATGAAAATGGTTTAAGTAACTCAATTGAATTTTCTTTTCTGATTTTTTTCCAGATAGATTAATAAAAAGCAAGACACAGCTTTGTGATGCCTACAAACATATAAAAATGTAAATAGGTTGAATGCAAAAGCATTAAAAAACCACACCATATTAACACTCATTCAAAGAAAACTGTAGTGAATTGAAGACAGATACTTAAAAAAAAATACTTACATATGAATGTTAATAGCAGCGCTGTTTATAGCTTTCTGTCTTCCAGAATAACTGTCAGTTGTTAAACATTTACCCGCATACTCCAATCTTCACAGATGCAGGAAAAATGTTTGACCAAATTCAACACCAATCCATGACTAAAAATGCATTGCAGGCTGGGCGTGGTGGCTCACACCTGTAATCCCAGCACTTTGTGAGGCTAAGGTGGGCAGATGGCCTGAGATCAGGAGTTTGAGACCAGTCTGGCCAACATGGTGAAACCCTGTCTCTACTAAAAATACAAAAAAATTAGCCAGGTGTGGTGGCATGCTCCTGTAATCAGAGCTACTTGGGAGCCTGAGGCAGGGGAATTGCTTGAACCAGGGAGGTGGAGGTTGTAGTGAGCTGAGATCATGCCACTGCACTCCAGCCTGGGTGACGGAGCAAGACTCTGTTTCTTTATTATTATTATTATACTTTAAGTTTTAGGGTACATGTGCACAATGTGCAGGTTAGTTACATATGTATACATGTGCCATGCTGGTGCACTGCATCCACTAACTCGTCATCTAGCATTAGGTATATCTCCCAGTGCTATCCCTCCCCCCTCCCCGCTCCTCACAACAGTCCCCAGAGTGTGATGTTCCCCTTTCTGTGTCCATGTGTTCTCATTGTTCAATTCCCACCTATGAGTGAGAATATGTGGTGTTTGGTTTTTTGTTCTTGTGATAGTTTACTGAGAATGATGATTTCCAATTTCATCCATGTCCCTACAAAGGACATGAACTCATCATTTTGTATGGCTGCATAGTATTCCATGGTGTATATGTGCCACATTTTCTTAATCCAGTCTATCATTGTTGGACATTTGGGTTGGTTCCAAGTCTTTGCTATTGTGAATAGTGCCGCAATAAACATACGTGTGCATGTATCTTTATAGCAGCATGATTTATAGTCCTTTGGGTGTATACCCAGTAATGGGATGGCTGGGTCAAATGGTATTTCAAGTTCTAGGTCCCTGAGGAATCGCCACACTGACTTCCACAATGGTTGAACTAGTTTACAGTCCCACCAACAGTGTAAAAGTGTTCCTATTTCTCCACATCCTCTCCAGCACCTGTTGTTTCCTGACTTTTTAATGATTGCCATTCTAACTGGTGTGAAATGGTATCTCATTGTGGTTTTGATTTGCATTTCTGTGATGGCCAGTGATGGTGAGCATTTTTTCATGTGTTTTTTGGCTGCATAAATGTCTTCCTTTGAGAAGTGTCTGTTCATGTCCTTTGCCCACTTTTTGATGGGGTTGTTTGTTTTTTTCTTGTAAATTTGTTTGAGTTCATTGTAGATTCTGGATATTAGCCCTTTGTCAGATGAGTAGGTTGCAAAAATTTTCTCCCATTTTGTAGGTTGCCTGTTCACTCTGATGGTAGTTTCTTTTGCTGTGCAGAAGCTCTTTAGTTTAATTAGATACCATTTGTCAATTTTGGCTTTTGTTGCCATTGCTTTTGGCATTTTAGACATGAAGTCCTTGCCCATGCCTATGTCCTGAATGGTATTGACTAGGTTTTCTTCTAGGGTTTTTATGGTTTTAGGTCTAACATGTAAATCTTTAATCCATCTTGAATTAATTTTTGTATAAGGTGTAAGGAAGGGATCCAGCTTCAGCTTTCTACATATGGCTAGCCAGTTTTCCCAGCACCATGTATTAAATAGGGAATCCTTTCCCCATTGCTTGTTTTTCTCAGGTTTGTCAAAGATCAGATAGTTGTAGATATGCAGCATTATTTCTGAGGGCTCTGTTCTGTTCCATTGATCTATATCTCTGTTTTGGTACTGGTACCATGCTGTTTTGGTTACTGTAGCCTTGTAGTATAGTTTGAAGTCAACTCCAGCCTGGGTGATGGAGCAAGACTCTGTTTCAGAAAAAAAAAAAAAAAAATTGCAAACTAGGAGCAGAAGGGAGCAACCTCATGTTGATAAAGGACATCTACATAAAACCCTTCAGCTAGCATTGTACTTACTAGTAAAAGAAAATTTTTTCCACCTAAGATTGGGTCTAAAAAAAGATACGGCTCTCACAACTCATATTCAACATATTATGGGAGGCTTTAGGCAGTTCAATATGGTTAAAAAAATTGAAAGCATACAAGTTGGAAAGAAGAAATGAAACTGTCTCCATTCACAGGCAACATAATTGCCTACATTGGAAACTCCAAAGAATCTACAGAAGAGTTACCAAACTAATAAGTAACTTTAATAATGTTTCAGGTTGCTAGGTCAATATACAAAAATCAATTGGATTTCTATATCCCAGCATTAAACAATTGTAGATTGAAATAAAAATGTGTATTACTTAACAATTGCACCAAAATTATATAAATCTAATAAAATATGTTCAAGGCCTTTATGCTGAAAATTACAAAATACAGATGAAAAAAATCAAAGATGATGAGAGTAAATGCAGAGAGATGTGTTTATGAATATGAAGATTCAACATTGTTTAGATTTCACTTTTCTCCTAAATAATCTATAAATTCAAAGAACTTCCAAAAACATCCAAGTAATATTTTTAGCCATTATCAAGTTAATTCTAAAATTTATTTGGAAAGGCAGAAAAAGCTAGAATAGCAAAACAAAACAAAACAAAACAAAACCAAAAAACCAAAGTTTAGAGCTCATACTAACTTATTTCAAGACTTACTATGAAACTACAATAATTTGTCAATGCAGTTTTGATGAAATTACAGACAGATAGACCGATGAAACAGAATATAGAATTCAGAAATAGCCTCACACAAATAAAATTAGTTGATTTTTGACAGAGATAGGAAGGCAATTCAATGGAGAAAGAATTACCTTTTCAACAAATGGTGCTGGAACAATCGGATCTCTATATGCAAACAAAAAACAAAAAACAAACAAAAAGAAACAAAAACTTTGATATTGATGAAAAATTAACTCAAACTGGATTATATCACTAAATGTAATACAACTAGAAAAAATTATGAAACAAACTTTGTGAAACAAATCTTTGTGATTTGCCTTTGGTAAAGATATCTTTGGTAAAATTTTAAAAAAGCACAATTCACTAAAAATTAAGAACTTGAACTTTATCAAAGTTAAATACATGTCTTTCAAAGACACATTGTTAAGAGAAGGAAAAGACAAACCACAGACTGGCTAAAAATACTTGTAAATATTTGCAACAGTATGGAATTTTAATTTGTAATATATAAAGAAATTTCAAAACTGAATAATGTAAAAACCTCAAACTATAAAAATACTAGAAGAAAACCTAGGAAATACTCTTCTTGACATTAACCTTGGCAAAGAATTTATGGCTAAGTCCCCATAAGCAATTGCAACAAAACCAAAAATTGACAAGTGGGGACCTGTTTAAACTAAAGAGATTCTGCACAGCAAAAGAAACTATCAACAGAGTAATCAGACAGCCTACAGAATGGAAGAAAATATTTTCAAACTATGCATCCAACAAAGGTCTAATATCCAGAATCTATAGGGAATTTAAACAAATGAAATTAATCCTGTTAAGAAAAACCAAATAATCCTGTTAAGAAACGGGCAAAGGCCATAAACAGATACTTTTCAAAAGAAGACGTACAAGCAGTCAACAAACATATGAAAAAATGCTTCACATCACTGATCATCAGAAAAATGCACACCAAAACCACAATGAGATACCATCTTATGCAGTCAGAATGGCTATTAATAAAAAGTCAAAAAACAACAGATGCTGGTGAGGCTGTGAGGAAAAAGGAATGCTTATACACCACTGGTGGGAATGTAAATTGGTTCAGCCACTGTGGAAAGCAGTTTGATGATTTCTCAAAGAAATTAAAACAGAGCTATCATTCAACCCAGCAATCCCATTATAGGGTATATACCCAAATGAAAATAAATCATTCTACCCCAAAGACACATGCACTTGTATATTCATAATCAAACTATTCACAATAGCAAAGACATGAAATCAACCTAGGTGACCATCAATGGTGGACTGATTAAAGGAAATGTGGTCCATATATACTACGGACAACTATGCAGCCATAAAAAAGAATGAAATCACGTCCTTTGCAGCAACGTGGATGCAGATAAAGGCCCTAATACTATGCAAATTAATGTAGGAACAGAAAACTAAATATTGCACATTCTCACTTATAAGTGGTAGCTAAACATTGAACACACAAAGAAGAAAAACAGACACTGAGGCCTACTTGAGGGTGGATGGTAGAAGGAGGATGAGGATCAAAAACTACATATGGGTATTATGATCACTACTTGCGTGATGTGATTCATACCCCAAACTTCAGCATCACACAATATACTTATCTAAGAAACCTGCACATGTACCTCCTGTATCTAAAATAAAAGTTTAAATTTAAAAATACAATGAAATAAAAAACAATAAGAAAGCAAACATCCCAGTTAAAAATATGTTCTAATGATTTGAACAGACCCACTACCAAAGAAGACATACAGATAGACAAAAGCATATAAAATATGTTCAACATCATTAGTTGCTAGGGAAACACAAACTAAAGTCAAATCTCATAGAACAGAAACAATAAGTAAAGACAAAAACCGACAAACCATGAAGATGGGAGCAGCAAATGGAAATCTCATCCATTGATGGTAAAACTGCAAATGGTACAATCACTTTACAAGTGTTCCCTAGAAAGTTACCATACCCTTACTATACCTAGCAATCACATGGTAAAATCTTATGTTCACACAAACATCTGTATGCAAATATTGATATAGTTTTATTTGTTATTCACATAAATAGACAGACAGGCCCAACTCAATATTATTCAAAGGAGTTAAACATTTTTTTAAAAATGGAATACTGCTTCCAGCTATAATAATGATTTAAGTATTAGACTTAATCTTCTACTGTAAACAACAAGCAAGTAAAAAAATACATGGAGTGACTGTTTCGTGTAACAATGACAATGGACTCTTATCTCTGAGAAAAGCAAAACAAAGATGGTGAGCCCCGATGTCACTCAAGTTTTCTGCTCAGTGGGTGTTTCTAGATTATGAGCACAGCGAGGGAAACTTAAATAGAGTTTGCTGGCCCTGCTGAGTTGGGGCTGGAAACTGGAATTCAGGGAAACTGAGACAGCTAGAAGTTTCAGGAAATAGTTCCAAAAAAGAGAATTACGTAGAAAATAGTTACAGATATCTGCATGGGGTGTCCTTCAGTATTTCATAAGAATTACACTGCATATAAATAGATTCAAACTCTGCAGAATATGACTAACATCCATTTTCAGGTGAGCAATATTGGTCCTCAGTATCCACTAACTTCTCCTAGATGGACTCTTTGCCCTAATCTTGGAGGCCAGGTACCATATGCACATTCTTTACCACACTAGCCATTTCCCCCCATCTCAACCAAATAAAAGCTTCTTTTCACTAAGGGGTTTGATAGTACCAATTGCCCAAAGAAAACGTGTTGTTAAGCGAACTTACTTGATTAAAAAATAATTGATCAATATCCATCATGGACAGTAATAAAGACTGTGTAGTAACGGCAAAGAGATAGATGTATGAATCAAGAGAACTATATAAAGAATAAAAAAAGGGAACTATATAGAGAATAAAAATTTTGACCTACAAAATATGGCCATTTGATTAATGTTAAAGATGCAAAAGCATCTTAAATGGAGAAAGATGAGCCTTTTAAATAAATACCGTTGGAACAATGGGTCATCCATTTGAAAACACATAAACCTAGACCTAAACTTTATTCCTTACAAAAGAGTTAACACAAAATGGATCGTAGATCTATATTTAAAACATGAATCTATAAAACTTTTAGTAGAAAACATAAGAGTCAATCTTTTTCCTCTGAGGTTAGGCCAAGAAATTTTAGAAATGACATGAAAAGCATGATTCACGAGAAAAATTTTTGGAAAATTGGACTTATTTTAAACTAAAAACTTTTTTTTTTGCCAAAGACACTATCAAGAAAATAAAAAGACAAGCTACAGATTGAGAGAAAATATTTGCAAGTCATGTCTCTGACAAATATGAGGAATTCCTAAACCTCAATAATAAGAAAATAACCCAATTAAGGGCAGAGTGTGGTGGCTCACACCTGTAATTCCAGCACTTTGGGAGGCTGAGGTGGGCAGATTGCCTGAGCTCAGGAGTTCAAGACCACCCTGGCCAACATGGTGAAACTCCATCTCTACTAAAATACAAAAAATTAGCCGGGTGTGGTGGTGCATGCCTGTAGTCCCAGATACTAGGCAGACTGAGACGGGAGAATTGCTTGGACCCGGGTGGCGGAGGTTGCAGTGAGCCGAGATCATGCCGCTGCACTCCAGCCTGGGTGACAGAGCGAGACTCTGTCTCTAAATAAATAGACAAAAACTTGGACACTTCACCAAAGAGTTATAAGTGTGAAAAATAATTACATAAAATATATTCAACATTATTATCCATTAGAAAAATTCTAATGAAATGACCACTACACACCTACTAGAATGGCTAAAATAAAAAATACAGTATCAAGTGTGGTAAAGATGTGGAACAACCATAATTTTCATACATTGCTGCTGAGAATGCAAAATGATACAGTTAGCCTGGAAATAGATTGGCAAATTTTAATCAGTTAAATATATACCTACTACATGAGTCAGCAATACCAATTTTACCCATGTTCCTGAGACTAAAGAAGACTTACATTCACACAAAGTCATGTACATGAATGTTGATAACAACTTTGTAATAGCCATACCTCTGCTGTGGATAGGGTCAGGGCAGAAAATAGCTAGGAATTTGGTTCAGGGAACTTGTTTCAGGAAGATGCAGAAGTGGCTACTAGGCACAAAGAAGGGCTTTGAGACAGCAGAAATGGCAAAATTGAAAGTACTACTAGGATTAGGAAAGCAGATGTTTTTGTGGCAGTTGGCACTGATTGATAACCATGGCATTCCTGCCAAGGGAAGTACAATAGAATGAGTGGAATTGACTTTTTCATATTTCAATGAGATGGTTGTTGATTGAAAGAAAATAGTGAAATGATTTTTATTCACACATCTGAATGTATGGACTCATATTCATTACATATATAAATCTTAACTTTTTTATTCTTAAAAATGTTAACTTAAAACAAGTCATTGAAGAAATACACAAAAATTCTCTGTATTTTCGGAGAAACTTTGTTATTCAGTTATATTATCTTGCTTTTTATCAGCTTTGATGAATTATTTGACCCTATTCATACTTGAAAAATGAGGGCAGAATGTAATTTTACGAAGGAGAATATTATAACTTACTAACATTCTATATGTCTTTTACTTCTCTAGTTCATTGACTGTTGAAATTGTATACATGTATGAATAAAAATTTATTCAACAAATGTTTAAGATTCTTAATTAGGTACCTGCTAGATTTTGACACAGGTTTTCTAGCTCTTATTTCTTTTAGAAAAAAAAAGAAATAATGGAAATATGTTTGCTATTTTGCCTGAAGACACAATTATCTATGATTAATATTTGATAAAATTCCAACATGGATTTTGGGATTCCCACTAAGTTACCTGTTTATGTTCAGTAATATATGAGAGTTGCTGGAAAAAAAACAGTTGCCTACTCTCAAAGTCAGATCTATCACTCACCTTTGACACAGTAGACAGTGATATATTGTTAGATCTTCCAGAAATGTGAGTTGGAATTTCTAAGACAGCATTAAATTGGTTTGAAATGTAATTATCTTTGTCAGCAGACACAGCATACTATATTGGGTAGCAGTTCATCAGAAACAGTTACTGTAAAACGTGTGGTCCCTCAGGGCTCTATTCTTGTCCTTTTATTTTTATATTTATATGCTTTTCATGGCAGTATCATTAATAGATCTGGATTTGATTATCATATCTATGCCAGTCTTACTCAGATTTACTAACTGGTTCTTGTAGAATCAAGTCATATGACTTCCCAACTCCTTCTGCTTTATTAAGACTTAGAATTGAATGATAGGGTTAGTTCCTTCAAAAGGATGTTCATAGGAAATCATTAATATTAATCTATCTATTTTATGAATATTTTTCATATTGCACTTTCCTTCATCTAGATTATGACTTAATTAAAAAATTACATTAGAGGACACTATGCTGTCCTTATTGACTGCATTCTTATTTTTGTGTGGCACGGGAACTTCACAAAATATATTTTTTATTGTATTATGAATAGATGTTGTACAGAATTATGATTTCTTTACCCTGGAATTCTATCATTTTTGAAGCAGATGCAGAGTTATGTAAATCCAGTGGGACCATCCAATTCTATCACATTATAATAGAGTCACTAATAGAAATGTCCCTACAGCAAATTTTATCATTCTCAAGATTTGAAGTGATTACAAAAGTGTGATGGGTAATATAGTGTGTTTTAAAAAATGATCTCACAGTGAAATGCTGTGGTGGTCATATTTGGCTTACGGGACCAAGTTTCAACTCTTAAGAATGATCTTCAAGTCCCCATCCTCCCTTTTTAGCTGAATCACTCAATTTATTGTTTGTCTCTTTGTTTGTATCTATAGGTTATTAAGTTACCTACCAACAGGAGTAAACCAGAGATTCCCTAATTCTGAAAAATACATTAACCTTGCTTTTTCCCAATTAAAATATAATGTTAAATGAATGCCTCTCTTTTAGTTTTATTTCCGGCCACAAAGGCCATAATTGCAAAAAGAATTAGATATTCTTTTATCCTAAAGTGAGATGTTTTGTTATCCTTGCAGCACATGCTAAGAGACAGTAAGCTAATCCTAGAACTGCCTCCTGTCTCACATGTAAGCTATAACAGAAGAATTTTGAATACTGAGGTGGGGAGAGATTTCTTTGAAGATAATTTTTAAGTGTGCTCTGGATTCCACATTTGTTTTATGGAGCACAGAATTTCTATGCCGTCCTCTCAAGTGGATTTTTATAAGGCTAATACAAGGTTGGATTCCTTTGTGGGGTCCAGATCTGCTTCCCAAGAAACACCCACTTCATTTCCTCCAAACTCTGGAACTGAAGCTCATGCACAAGCAATTACTTCTCTGTGTTAAGTCTTCAGGAAGACGTACCTTCAGCCAAATTCTATTTTCTTTTTAGGTATGGAGGTAAGGAGGTAAAGAGGTATTTTCTTCTCACCTCAGGGCAAGTGAAAGAAACTTCAAAAGAACGGCTCAGGAAGTTCAGCAAATTTTCGTTGGAATTTGAAGGATCTCATGACCCATCCTCACTCACACCTAAAAAGACAAGAGAATCTGGCTGCAGGTGCCTCTTCCCAAAGACTTAACACAGAGAAGTAATCACATGTGCTTGAGCTTCAGTTTCAGGGTTTAGAGAAGTTAAGTGGGTGTTTCTTGAGGAGCAGATGTGAACCCCACACAAAGTATCCAACTTTGTGTAGCCTTTTAAAAAAAATTCCACTCAAGAGAACCACATTGAAGTGTGTAACTATTTCAACAGAGGAGGAGTTGTAAATGGCCAGCCAGTGCCAGCATTGTGAGAGCTACAGTGGGAGAGCCTCATCAGAAGCATCTCTGTAGAATCCATAAAATCACCCAATGAGAGAGAAAACAGCAATGACTAAGCAGCCATTCAGAGGGTACCACAGTATAATCCTCCACCCATATAAGACTAAGTTTTTCTTCTTAACTTCCCTTACCTATGTCATGTGTCCCAGGCCCTGGAAGCAGTTTAAATTGGATAGTAGTTTGATGTTTTTAAAATATACTGGGCTGACCTAAAGTTATGGGGTCAGGAGAATGGTTGGGCATTTCAATTATTTAAAGGTAACTAGAAAAATCTATGGGACCTGTCTTTTTACTTCAGGGATGGTGAAAAATGAATCCTCACAGTGAATTTGCAGTACTTACAGTTAGAAAAAAATAAACTTGCTTTTTTCTTCTCTCCAGTGAAGTCCAGCGTATCCTATAAATGAGCTGCATTGTTGTAGTTCTTTTTCCATCATCTTCACCTGCACAGGTCAAAGTTCAACTTCCAAAATGAACTTTCAAACCGAAGTCTGTTCTGACTTTATGACAAGAATTTCTCTATGATATGATATTTTCTTCATGAAAATCCTTTCTCATTTCTACATACTTCCAAGGCACTTTGAACTTCTTTCACACTGACCTGTCTTCATGGATTGGACTGCTTAATAAAATGTAATAATTAAACACAAATAGAAATATAAGGAATGCATCAAAGGAGTTACAATAAGGAGCCTCAGTTGGATGCAGTTTTCCCTAAGGAAGTGACCTTCAGATGAGGAGTGAAAATGAGTTGATGTTAACCACCTGAAGTCAGAAAGATAGTGTGATTCAGGCAAAAGAAGAAGACTGATAAATTGAAAAAAAAATTATGATTGCTAGAGTAGAGAGAGTAAAAAGAATGAAAATACTAGAGAGGTAGGCATAAATTTGATGATAGCCTTTCAATCCTTATATAACAGTGCTTGGATTTACTCAATATCTATTCACCCTTCTTTTGGTAACAAAATACCCAATTTTTAGCTGGGGATATTACCATCTGAAATAAATGTTAAAAATTTCAGCCTCCCTACTGGCTAAGTATGGCATTTTTATTTAATTCAGGGCAATATGGTATGATGCAGTGAGGTGCATTAATTCTGAGATGGGTTCCTAAAGGGCGAGGCTATTTTGCCACCTCTCTCCTTCTCTATCCTGCTGTTTGGAATGTGGTTGGGTGGATAGCCATCTTAGATTGCAGAGCAAGGGCAAAACCTGAGGAATAACAAAGCAGCAACATAGAAGGATGCTGGATTGTTTGATACTGGAAGCAATGCTTCCATTCAGTCCAAAGCTGACTTTCCCAGACTTTTACATTGGGAAGACATTATTTTCTATGTAATTTAAGTCACTCATGTTGAGTTTTGTTACTCACAGCTTAGCCATATACCTAGTAAAACCACATTAAAGATTTTTCACTTTATCTTATGGGCAAGCACTGAGTTGTTTATGCAAATGAAAGATAGATACTAAAGACTAAAGAATGGATTGAGAAGGGGGCCGGAGAAGGCTAAGAGTGTTTTTTCAGATGAATGGATGATTTATATGGCACAATAAGCAATGCAATTTTACAAAAGAAGAGGTATGGACTTACGTAATTGGAGGGAACTTAAAGATGTAGAACTGGAACAGGAATACAGGAAAAGAAGAAGACAGTTTTAGAAAAAAATTCCACTGTGTGGTGGAGAAGGAGGACAAAGAAACAAGGCTTGAGTGTTGAGAAATCATAGGGACTGAGACACCAAGATAAAATGAGGGCAGATGATATTAAAGCTCTGAGAGCTAGACAGAACAAAATGAGTTTGTTTGGGAAATCCATAATGAATCATGATGCCAATGCTTGAGAGGGCTGATACATCTTTAGTAGGGTTTTATGAATTATGAAATTTGATCTGGTAGTATTAAATAGCTATTAACTCCATCCTGGATAGGAGGGTTCATTGATCCCAGAAGAGTACCTAAATATAGTATATTGAAATGCTAGATAAATATATAATATCTATAAAATGTAATTTATGTACAAACAAATTTTATTTGTATTTCACATAAGAATCAACACTGGCACCCACTCTTGAACAGAGAGTCACACATTACATAACATATGCAAAACATTCTGGGGACAGGAAGGGTGTTCCCCATCATCTTATGGTACCCTCAGTAGTTTGTTTACTTTCCATGCCTTGTGACTTATTATAGTTTAGGAGTATCCTATGAAGAAGATTTATAGATTACACTTTCTGGTTTTATCTAATCTTATTTTCCAAAGAGTACTAGTAAACTAAAAGAGTCCCATAGAGAAAGTTCATATCAGAAGCAACACTAATAGCACTGGCACAAGTAAACTATTAGAAAATTGTTGAGTTGGCAGTTCTTTCACCCTTAACTCAAGTTTCTTGTCTTTATTACATAGAAAGTTTAAGGTTTTATACAACTTAACTTAGATGTTATAGATGTTATATCTTTACCTAGCATTCCAATATACTATATTTGGTATTCCTCTGGGGTTAAAGCAAGCTAACACTTAATGACAGAGTCAAACTGATTAGACCTAAATCATCACTTTTTTAAAAATCATACTTTAGCTTCTGGGACACATGAGCAGAACATGCAGGTTTGGTACATAGGTATACACGTGCCATGGTGGTTTGCTGCACCCGTCAACCCATCATCTACATTAGGTATTTCTCCTAATGCCACCTCTCCCCTAGCCCCCCACCCCCCAACAGGCCCCTGTGTGTGATGTTCCCCTCCCTGTGTCCATGGGTTCTTATTGTTCAACTCCCATTTACGAGTGAGAACATGCGGTGTTTGGTTTTCTGTTCCTGTGCTAGTTTGCTGAGAATGATGGTTTCCAGCTTCATCCATGTCCCTGCAAAGGACATGAATTCATCCGTTTTATGGCTTTATAGTATTCCATGGTGTATATGTGTTACATTTTCTTTATCCAGTCTATTATTGATGTTGATGGGCATTTGGGTTGGTTCCAAGTCTTTGCTATTGTGAACAGTGCTGCAATAAACATAACGTGTGCATAGTAGAATGATTTATAATCCTTTGGGTATATACCCAGTAATGGGATTGCTGGGTCACATGGTATTTCTGGTTCTAGATCCTTGAGGAATTGCCCACTGTCTTCCAAAATGGTTGAACTAATTTACATGCTCTCTAACAGTGTAAAAGCATTCCTATTTCTCCACATCCTCTCCAGCATCTATTGTTTCCTGACTTTTTAACGATCGCCATTCTAATGGCATGAGGTGGTATCTCATTATGGTTTTGATTTGCATTTCTCTAATGACCAGTGATGATGAACTTTTTTTCATATGTTTTTTGGCCGCATAAATGTCTCCTTTTGAGAAGTGTCTGTTCATATCCTTTGCCCACTTTTTGATGGGGTTGGTTGTTTGCTTTTTTTCTTGTAAATTGGTTTAAGTTCTTTATAGATTATGGATGTTAGCCCTTTGTCATATGGATAAATTGCAAAAATTTTCTCCCATTCTTAGGTTTCCTGTTCACGCTGATGATAGTTTCTTTCACTGTGCAGAAGCTCTTTAGTTTAATTAGATCCCATTTGTCAATATTGGCTTTTGTTGCCATTGCTTTTGGTGTTTTAGTCATGAAGTATTTTCTACGTTTTCTTCTAGGGTTTTTATGGTTTTAGGTCTTACGTTTAAGTCTTTAATCCATCTTGAGTTAATTTTTGTATAAGGTGTAAGGAAGGGGTCCAGTTTTAGTTTTCTGCATATGGCTAGCCAGTTTTCCCAACACCATTTATTAAATAGGAAATTCTTTCCCCATTGCTTGTTTTTGTCAGGTTTGTCAAAGATCAGATGGTTGTAGAAGTGTGGTGCTATTTCTGAGGCCTGTGTTCTGTTCCTTTGGTCTATATATCTGTTTTTTGGTACCAGTACCATGCCATTTTGGTTACTGTAGCCTGATGGTATAGTTTGAAGTCAGGTAGCATGATGCCTCCAGCTTTGTTCTTTTTGCTTAGGATTGTCTTGGGTATACGGGCTCCTTTTTGGTTCCATGTGAAATTTAAAGTAGTTTTTTCTAATTCTGTGAAGAAAGTCAATGGTAGCTTGATGAGGATAAGAGAGGACACAAAAAAATGGAGAAACATTCCATGCTCATGGACAGGAAGAATCAATATCATGAAAATGGCCATACTGATCATCACTTGTTAACCTAACTGTAAGACAGAAAATAAAAAATGAGCATATTCACTCATATGTCTCATACACTGATGGTCAATGATAAATAGATGTATTTGAGGAAGAAGCAATGAAGGATCCTGGAGACTAGTGGAGGAGCTATTTCTGGCTATTTTTAAGCTTCTCAATTTTTTTTTTCTAAAATTAAGTGCATATATGTAGGTGCGTGCTGCGATAACCCAAAATTAAACAGAAGAGAGCAAGGATTAGGATAGGAAGGGAAAAGTGATAGATCTGAAATATATTTTGAGTGTTATTTCCTTTATGGTAATGCTCAAAATGTTTCATCTACCATAACTAGCAGTTTCTTGGATGGTGCATATAATGTTTTAAACTTTTACCTTACATTCTATTTGAAACTCTTAACGTGATTTTAACCTTGGGCTTGGAACTTTTCTTGTGTTCTCCCTACATCTTTTAGATTAGCAGAGCATTGTGACAGAATCTTAAAAATATAATAAACTTTAGTCCTTTCTTGATTCAACAACACCCATTTTCAGTTTTATAATTTTATTCAATCTCATGTCTTCCACTTTGTAGATTGGTTCTTTAAAAAATTATTTTCCCAATTGGTCATAGATATAGTAAGAATATTGTAAATTCAAATGCCCCAGTCAAAAGAGGCAAATATGTAGGATGGGATTTTATTTACAAAATCAGGTATTCCCTGAAAATATTCCTGAGTTAAG
Organism: Homo sapiens; assembly: GCF_000001405.40. NCBI lineage: Eukaryota > Metazoa > Chordata > Mammalia > Primates > Hominidae > Homo > Homo sapiens. Next base: position 91,823,611 of record NC_000005.10, read on the forward strand.
TTATGGCTATCTTTAGTTTGCTCACTTCCATTTTGGCATGGAAGGGGTTAAACTACATATTATGGCTTGTTATGGTCTGTTGTGGCCACGAAATCACTCAATTTGGCTACTCCTTTCTGCCTCTTTAGATACTGGAATTGTAAGTAGAAGAAATAGTTAAATTATAAATATTTAATGTATTTGTGTTTTAATAATAATTTTGTTTATCAAACCTATTACACAATAATATAAAGAACTACATAATAACACCAACCGATGTTTGTAGTCAAAATAAAATTTAAAAATCTAGTTTAGATGTATTTTAAAGCAAATAGAATGTCCAATGGCTCTTACTTTTTAGTAAACAGTAGCAATTGGTCATGAATTTGAGATGTATGAACCCTTCCTGGAGAGGAGACTGGGATTACGATTCTAAGCTAAAAGTACATTCACCTTCAAATTTGGGAAGTCCATTTCCTTTTCATAAATTAGTTTATATCAACTAAAAATTGATCTCAGAGGGATCCAAAGACAGGTTTCTCTTTGTTTTTAGCACCTTGTTGGAGAAAAGTTTGTAACATTGAAGTAAAACAAATTAAGTGCAACCAGAATCTTCAGAAACCATTTGGGAGCCAAAGAATGTCTGACTGATGTCATTAAGAGAAGGAGCAATAGTACTTTGTGGACTTTTTGATACTCAGTCTTGATCTCTGACTTAAATATTTACCTGTAAATCTTTGTTTCAATTATTTTTTATGACTATGTTGTAAAGACCTTTCCTAAAGAATTGCTCATGTAAGTGTGTGTGTGCATGCATGTACGTGTATTGCCAAAATGAGCGTTTTTCTTCCTACTGCCTGGGAAGATCATACTCAATCATTAGTATTTACATAGCACTTGTTTCCATCTAATTCTAAGAGCAGAGGGATTCTGTTTTAAAGTCATTGGTAAGACAGTTTGTTTTTCTATGAACATACTGAAATTATGCACTGGGCAAATTAGTGAATTTTACCAAATATGTCTCAAGGATAAATATAGTAATTTTCACAGTGAATGTTTTCCATCTCTCAGGAAATCTATGTTTGTCATGAAATGACAAGTTTTTTTGGAGGGTTGGGGGAATGGGGTGGTTGTCTTTGAAAACTGATTTTAAATTTCATTAAATAACAAGGCAAACCTGAAAAATATTTTACATTTAATGGAAGAATTTAAGCATGATCTTTTGGTGGAATGCAAGTGGCAAAAAAATTTAACACATCTCCTGAAGAAACAGATTTTCCTTTTCCTGGGTGATCATTATAAACCGTAACTTTAAAATTTTAAATTATGAAAAATATCTTGGGAATGAGAATTTATACCAATAAACTATTCTTGTAACGTTGTAACTGAGAATTAATGTGCTTTTATAAGATGATAACTTTACTATTTTTCTGTGCAGTAATGCCAAAAAATAATCAGGCTTAAAATATGACTTGACTTGTAGTATAAATTGGCATAAAAGATTTCATGTTTGTGTCTTTACTGCTATATTTTTTCTTAAGAATGAAATGAATAAAATACTAGCTGGAGAAGTACCTAAGATTTTACACCTACTAAAAGCATATAAATAATATAAAATCCCACGTGTACAGATGACCTAAATTCTTCCTATATCTTACAAGTAGCTCTCTGTATAGACCCAGATCTTCAAATCAGTTATTAAAATTATAGTGAGAGTTAGCTTTGAGAATGCTCACGTGCTAATTACCTGATAATATTACAGGGATGTGAGCTGAGAAATACTTGAAAAGTATAGCTATAATAGAGTTCTCCAAATTATTTCTCTAAGAAGTATTCTTTCTGGTGGAAATTAAAAAAACAAAACAGAACAACTGCAATAATAAAACAGCAACAAAGCAATGGTGAAGTGTTTTGTAAATAGTTTCCCCAAATCAAATTAAAGTGGCAAAGCTTTCATTTTATGTCTATCTCTCTGCTCTCTATGGATTTTTTTTCTGTTTGGTTTGAGTGATCTATATAAGGAGGCTTTAACAATTAAATGCTGTTGAAGTGAACTGTTTGTTTTTCTTTTTGTGTCTTTCTCCTGTTTATGTGACACCTCGTTTAGGGAGACCTTACCTTACGGCCCGGTTTTTCTTTATGCCAAAGCTATGTGGATTTTAGTGGTTAGTTGTTTAATATTTGACGTCATACTGTAGTCACTTTATGTCTTAAGCCAATTTCTGTTTAGAAAGTCTAATTATGACAATGCTTAATGCAGAAAGTAAAGGGCAAAAAAAGCCAAGCATTTTTTTTCTCATAACATTGCAATGTTGTCAATCAGAAATCATGTTACAAGTGGCTCTCCTATCATATCCATGTGTAACAGAGCACTGATTGACAAGAAAGATTTTATAAATTGATATGAATCATCATTAGCTTTTAACTAGTTTTCTGACTGACAGTTTAACAAAAGAAAAATGACACCACCTAGGGTTAAGAATAGTCATAATAATAATAACTTTTTTTCTAGAGGATATTAGGGCAACTGACCACACATATGTTAAGTTATATATTGTCTCTCACTAATCTACTACTAATGTTTAACCATCTCCTATAAAACTGATGCTACCAATATAAAGTAACTTATCATGATTGACAAAAATTCCACAATGGTTGTTTCAATAATTTATAAGCTAATTCATTATTATTTTCCTACCAATTGGCAGGATTTTGTGTTTGCACCTGGAAGACGTTTGAGATTCTGCATAACCCAGGTTTATTTTCTGTGTTTGCAAAATGCAGGATGTTCCCTTTAATAACCTGAAATTTTAATAAGGGCCTAAGAAATAGTTGAAAAAGTGAGTGAACTTGTATTTAAATTAGGTCTTTGAGAGCTTGGAGATTCTAAGTTGGTGAACTCTAATTAAATCCCTTAAGGCCACTGGGTCTGCCTCCCTAGTTCTTGATGGTGAAAATAAGGTCTTCAAAAAGAGTCCCTTGGCAGTATACAAGTGGAGGGGAAAAAATCCTGCAACCCTTCACTATAGCATTTTATAAAGCCAGAATTCCAGAAGGAGTTCCAGACAAGGAAAACAATAGAGACTGAAACTCGAGAACTAGTAAAGCAAGGAAAGTAAGGGAAAAAGAATTTGGACAGAGTGGTTATTCAAGAAGAACATCACTCATTCAGATCAGAGCATGAATGTAGAGCAAGACAAAGGGGCAAATAAGATATACTAGAGCTGGTAACAACATAGCAAATCTTAGTTGGCACATTTTGTAATTAACATTTCCAGTAAGAAATGCTCAAATACAAAACTGCCATTTTTTAGTTCTGACATTATAGTGGCTTTTTCCTCAGGGCACATTTTCCATATAAATATCTAAGCATTTTTTTTTTCTTTCCAACTAGATTTCTGTACTCATTTGTGTGGATGAATTTAACTGTGATGGTGGGAGCAAAACAGGTATTGAATCTACTTGGAGCCAAGAGGAGATAAATAACAGGTAATCAAAATGTGGACATTGAACTTGAGTGTATTTTCAGCATCTTTGCCTATGCAACAATACAGATATACGAATTGAGTGGGTGCTTCTTTATTTCTGTCAGTATGCTAGAGGGTGAAGGTAGAGGGAAATTTTGTACTTTCTCCTTAACATTTAAAATATTCTAAATAGTGTTTCTTGGTATCATAAAATTCACAGTTGAACCTCCTCATCCAATTATGAACTAAATAATCTAAATCACCTCCTAAAAAAAAGAAAGAAATATCAACTTTGCAGATAGTTTCCCCTGACTCCCAGATATTCAGTTAATACCAAAATATCCAGTTTGGCTGCCAATATGTGCATCATTTCCCCCATATACCTCAGTCTCATTTCTTTTCACCTTTTGGCATTTGCACTCTGTTTCTGAGTCTTTATTTCAATAGATTAAAAGAAGATAAAGGTCTGCTAGTGGTGGCAAAATACCCACAGAGGTTCCTCATCCAGTGGACTCCTGTGAAAATCGACAGAAAGCTAATTGAAGAGGAGAGGCACGCTGCTTGGCTCTCATTAGTCTATTCCTGTGCCATGTCCACGTGGACCAGTGCATTCTTTCATAGCTGATTGATATGTGATGCCCTCACACCCCCCATCCTGACCAAATGTTCTACAAAGTAGGAGTGATGTAGGAAAACTTGGAATTTATACTTTTGTAGTTTGCTCTACTTTTTATTTCAAAAGGCTTTTAAAGTTCTATGAACACTATTTAGATCACTTGTATGTCTAGATGGAAATACCGATTCTTGATGCTCTGAATAAACCCCTAACCCCAAAGGGATATTGAACTACTGGGTGCTAGCTTTGTTCTTAAGTATAAGTTCCAGAAAGTTTTATTTACTTTTTGAACTCTTTACTAGGATGAAAGTATCACAGTGCTTTTTTGGTCTGCCACTTAAGTGGCTTCATCTTTTCTTGGGGGAAAAAAATGAAAGTAACAAGCAAAATATAGAGGAGATTTTAGTTTGTTCTTTGATCAAAAGGGTCATTTATTGATCTGGGGCTTAAAAGGAAAAGATCTGTTTTGGGGAAAGTCATTGTACTACCCACAGTTTGAACTCTTCTTTTTTACTATCTATTAGAGTATGATAAGTCTACATTTTTTTTTTTGTAGAAGCAAAACTCACAATTAAAATAAGAACTCCATTATCACTATGATCATATGACTGTTGTAGTAAACTTGCAAAACTGAAAACAGTCAATATCTACATTGACTGAAATGCTCGTAATTTATAGTCTTAAATAGAGATAATTTCTTTTAAATTGTAGCTTTACATAATGATTTGTTTGGTTTCTTCTTTTACTTCAAATAGAAAAGGAAAATGAGTTGTACTTTAAAATTAAATATCATCTGCTTTCTTTTCTACCCCTTCACTTTCCAGACTCCAGGAATCAGCTTGAATATTCTACAGAGGGTGGTCCAGTGACTATAAAATAAACTGGAAGCAGAAATTTCTGTAATTAATTCAACTATAGAGTCATTACGTGAAGAACAAGTTAGTAAGTCCTTCCTATACTTGTTTAATTCTTGGAATCTTCTAATAAGGGAAATAAAAAAAATCAGTGTTTTGAATTAGAATTATTTCCCTTCTAATAAGGGAAATAAAAAAATCAGTGCATTGATAAAGTGAGGTACATAGGATATTTTATAGAAAAGACATTTGACTTAATAGCATCATACCTAAATATTTTTGGATGGGTGTATAATATATCTATATAAAGAGATAGATATATATCTATGTATGTGTGTGTGCATATGAATTATTGTCATAAATTATGTACTCCAGTATGTTACACAAATACTGAGTAAATACATGGAAATTTGTTGATACAGCTTTCCCAAACTTTGTTCTTTGGACTACTAGTGTTTCATAAGATATTGATATGTATACTTTGGGGAAAAATTATACCTGTTGAAATAAGAGGGAAATTATTTTTTATAGAGATTCACACTATAAATTAGAATATTAATGACTCTGAGAAGGAATTTAGAAAGAAAATCTTTGCTTCTAACACAACACTTACTTGATCTCATTATAGTGTTTAAGGTAAAACCTTTATTAAAAATTCAATCACTGTTCCAAATATACATTCCAGAAAAAAACTTTATATGGGCAAAAATACACATTTTAAAATATCACAACACTCCTGTTTAAATATTGTCCCAATTATTTATTAACTGTAATACCAACGGAAAATATTTAGCCCTTTCTTGTATGTCAATCCTTATTTGCAAAATGAAGATAATATTTATCCTGTGCTTGTTGTAAGTGTTTACAATATATGGGCTGTGTGATATATCAACTTACTGCGCATTCCACTTCTGCTCTGCTATTTTAGTTGAGTTTTCTTTTTAGTTCCTCTATTTTGATATAATTGGATTCAATGTCATCGTTAAGTGAGTTCCACATGGGAAATCATGGGTTTCAAGAGGTTGTCAAGGCAATACACAAAACTAAGCATCTATGTCAGCTAATAATGTATTTGGCTACAAATGACAAGAAATCTAACTACAATGGCTTAAACAGTTTTTGTTTGTTTTTCCATATGTGGGAAGTCCAGAAAAAAGCACTCTTGGGATATTATATGTAGCAACAATAGCATTAGGGACCAACACTTCTATCTTTCTGCTCTTTCATCCTGGGCATATTGATTTCCTCTCCTTACTTGTCACTTTATGGTGACTAGATGGTGAAGGTGCTGAAGCTGGTGAATAAGTGGTGATTGCACCTTCAGGCATCATGTCTGCATTCTGGAGAGAAGAGTTCGGGAAGAGTCAGATACTAAGCCAGCCCTATCTGTCATGTAAAACAAAGCTTTTCCAGAACCATCCAAGCCAGAACTGGTGCAGGTGGCATCCCTTGCTTCAAGGGAGGCTGGGAAATTTGACGAAAAGTGTTGTAGTTGAGACAGACCAATCATCATTCATTGCGCAGCTCTAAGCTTATCACTGACTCTAACACAACTGTAGTTTTCTTAGCAAGAAAGACAGAAGCAAAATGATATTATTTGCACAAATTGACTTATGTCACAGATTCTCTTTTAAATGCATAGATTAATATGACTCAAGGATAGCATCTGGAATTAAATAATGACCCAGAAAAGTTTTCATGTTTAAGGTGGAGGAAGTCAACATTAGGGAATTTGCATTTTTAACAATCCCACGTGGTAATTCTCACCAAATGGCTTTGCTTGCCAAGCTCTCTAGAACATGGAGCCAATGCACCTAATTTCAGTGTGCAGGGAGAGTAAGGAATAAGGGCAAGCAGGCAAGGAACAGATGTGGAAAATAAATGGAATGCTGTGTTTATATGTCTGGCTACTGCTTCCCAATAGGCCATGATGTTACTAGGCAGGTGTAACAGCTCAGCACACAGTATATTCCTGGGCATGCTTTATGAAATTATTAAGTTGGAGGGTGAGGAAAAAAGAAGAACTTTATCTTCTTGGGTCCCCTTTCCTTCTCTTTCCCACTGGTCAAAGCTTTCCCCACAGGGAATTAGCACTCCATCAATTCCAAGTTACATCATTCTGTCCCTTTGCACGCCAAACTCTTTGATGCAGAAGATGGTGTGTCAGATCTCATGTCCTGCGATGAGACATTCCATTAAAATCCAGAAGCAGAGGGAAAGGATGAAAACTCCAGGAACGCAGCTCGTCTGCCTAGCTGTGTGGCAACTGCCAAGGGAGAGAGGTGATGCTGACAGAGGGAATGCTTTGTTGGGCCCCAGTGGCAGCATCGCTGTCCAGAATGGGAGAACCACAGAAGTCTGCAAATGATAATAACTTTTTTTTTTGTATGATACACTACATTTGAGAATTGGTGCTTTAGAGTTTAATTTATCTCTGGAGTCTGGACTAACTTCAAAGTCAAAAGATCCTCATGCCAAATAGCATTGCCCCGTATAACTTCTACAAAAGTCTTAAGGCATAACAGGTTTCCTAAACCTTCATTATAGGCTGTATTGTTGGCAGACAGTGGATCACACTGGTTTAGTACAGGATTTTGGTTTCACACAAAATGAGACTTGAATCTGGGCTGTGCTGTTGTTTATCTTTGTCACTCTGGGCAAGCCATTTTTTAACCCAGCCTCAATTACATATATATATATTTTTTCACTAAAAATATGAAAGTATTAACAATGTTTTTCTTTAAGGCTTGGGGAGGATGGTATCTGACAGTCTGTTTAATGAATTTGGTATACAATTTTTTGTCAGATATAACTATGCCATTCACTTCCGCCTTCTTTCTTGAAGATAATTTCTAAAATTTCAATAGCTTTGCTTGTCAAGTGGATCATGCTTCAACAGTCTGGAGGGCCACAGTGAGTGGGGAATTTCTGGGTTTTGTCTTGTTCTCTGGTCTAGGTAGGTCAGAAGAGACCACACAACTCCCAGACCAATTCCACTTTGAAAAATGCAAAGTACTGAACACATTTTGCTTTCCCTGGGGAAAAGTCTCAGGTAACATATGAGAATGTTGAAATAACACCACACCCACCTCTTACCAGAGCAGCTAATTTAAAATCACTTGCAATCTGGGAGAATTTGTCTCAATATCTTCTTGTAAGAACCTACGGCTAACTGTTTGGTGAAAGGTTTCTTGAGAATAGGATCTTATCCAAGGCTTGTGACAGTGGTAACTTAGAATGAGGCTACAGAGATCTAATTAAAAGGTGATTTCCTAACATATGGAGTGCCTATGTGAAATCAAGAGAGTTTTCTGTGCTGGGGGAGAGGCTGACCCTGTAAATTCTTATGACATTAGGCTTAAATCTTAGCTGCTAAACACCTTTCAAATATTTATCTCTTCCCAAGTAAATGTACTCCCTGTAAATCTCTATTTGTTGACTTTTATCCCAGTTGGATCGACTTTGGGGACTGTATCACTGAGACCTGTGCATTAAGTGGTACATATGTTGAATAAACAGCCAGACAGCTACCAACTGTCAAGCTGCTTTACTAGAGTAGAAAAAATAAGCACATATGCCATGTTGAAAAGCAAAAGAAAAACAAAAGTTTATAATAGAACTAGGAAATGGTTCAGGTAAAATGCAGTCACATGCTTAGGTGCATGATTATTCTTGAACATACCATTATAATTTTTTGGAGAAGAAATGATAATCCAGGAATGATCTCAAATGTAGCATTAGATATGAAATCTCTTCTGGTGGCTCATAATTCATTAGTGAATTAATAAATGGAAAGGGACACAAGGTATGTTAATACAAGCAAAGGCTGGAATGTGTGCTCATTGAGGAAATGTAGGTTTGATTTTTTTACAAGCAGCAGATGGAAATAAGGGGACAGGTTGTTCTTTACAGGTATGGATGAAACAACAGAACACACCAGCTTTTCTGGCAAGGGGACTGGAAGTATTTATAGATAGTTTTCCATCGTGTTGCCACCATCATTGCTCTCCTTTAATACCATAATGGAACAACATTGACTATGCATCCCAGGTGGCCACCTGCAGAGCAGAAAGGATCCTGGTCACCAGCAATTGATTTGTGCAGAAGACATAGTAGCCCTGTTATTTTAAAGGTTGTCTCAGCTTATTTTGGTAAGGCAATAAACTGAAGTTATAATCATGAGTGTCAGTTCAGGTGCTCTGGAAGCAGGTAGCAAGCAGGTTACAAGCGCAAAAAATGTACTGGAAGTAATACGCATTTGAGATAAAGAGGAGAGGGGAAAGATGATGAAAAGGCATCAAATGATAATGCAGATTTAACACTTAGAAAAGGAGCAGGGAAAGGAAGGAGAATTGGATAGGAGGGGCCTCAGAGTACAGTGTTGCCCTGGCAAAGTTTCAGCCAACTCAGTGATTGCCCTAGAGGATTCCATGATAGAAAAAAATGGCCGGGCCCTAGAAGAGTACTCTGCCATCATTGGTGAGCGCAGCCCATGGAAAATATGTGTTCTTAAATTAAATACCAGGGCAGATTCCAAAGGTGGTACAACCAAAGGTTGTTGGCTGATTGCTCTTCTGTGGCAAGTTGTCTCTTGATAGGAGAACTGAGTGGAACAGCTCTGTGGCTGAGACAGTAGACTTTCAAAAGATGACGTTGGAGTAGACTTCTAAGGAGGAGTGACTTTCACACTTTCATTTATAATAAAAGGCAAATATGACTTGGTCAATGTGGATTCTTTTATGAGTTTATAAAAAAGCCTCAAGGTAGTAAAGCACTCTGTGTCAGCCTCTACTCATTTTCCCATCCATTCTTTTTTGCATGGTTTGGAAGCAAAATATACTAGACAGTCAGACAGAAATTTTCCTAGGGTGGAAGAACACTATCAAATTATTATTTTTTAAAATTTACTTTAAGTTCTGGGATGCATGTGCAGAATGTGCAGGTTTGTTACATAGCTATACATGTGCCATGGTGGTTTGCTGCACCTATCAACCCGTCATCTAAGTTTTAAGCCCTGCATGCATTAGGTATTTGTCCTAATGCTCTCCCTCCCCTTTCCCCCCACACCCCGACAGGCCACAGTGTGTGATGTTCCCCTCCCTGTGTCCAGGTATTCTCGTTGTTCAACTCCCACTTACGAGTGAGAACATGCAAACACTATCAAATTCTAAGAACACAAATGCACTTTGCTGGTTTAGTGATGAAGAGTCAGGAGAACCGAAGCTGAAATCCTGGCTTTGTCACTCCCTAACTTTAAGAAATTGAGTAACTTAATTTCTCTGTGTTTCATTTTCTACATAATAAAAAAAGCAAAAAACAAACAAGCAAATAAGCCAGTATCAAACAGTATTCATTTGATGAGTGATTTTTTGAAAGATTTCCTCATTCTAGAAACTTTTATTTTTATAAGATGTTTGTTGTACTTTGTGTTAATCTTAAACACTGAGGAAACCCATCTGGCTAATTCAGGGTAACCACCCAGTTTCAAGATCCTTAATTTAATCTCATCAGCAAAGTCCCCTTTGCCATGTAAGGTGACGGAATTCATATGTTCCACGGATTAAGACATGGCATCTTTGGAAGGCAAAGAATGTGGGCAGCCTGGAGAAGCTGGAAAAGGTAAGGAATAGCATTCTTCCCTAAAACCTCCATAAATGTAAACAGGAATAGAAAACTAACATGCTACTCAAGCTACCTGAGTTTATTTCTCACTGCGCTAAGTTTCACTCTCCTGACAGATACAGCCGTCCTTCCTCTTATCCCTAGGTCGGGTCTGCTGATCTGAGTGACTAGCAGATGTCATATTCAATTAGCCTCCAAAGTGTCTCTTGCACAGCAATTTTTTGGCCTATCTCTACGCCTTTGCTTGTGCTCTTTCCAGTTTTAGAAATGACTCAATCATTGGCTCTGCTTTTTAAATCTCGGGTATTACTTAAGGTTTTGATAATAACCTGTGTCCTTCCTGAAGACTTTTCTACCTACTCCAACTCACTCCAAATGCTTACAACTGAGAATTCCAATTATTTAGAATCAAAGACTGGCACTTTTGCTCAAAATGTTTCATATTAGAAATATCTCCTCCAATCCAAACAGTGTCAAACTCCTCAAGAGCAGGGACAATCTGTTATATATCTTTTGTGTCCCATTCAGCCTCAGCCAATGCTACACAGCCAGTGCCAAATCAGTGGTAAATTAGTACTTTGTTTATTGAGAAATAGTAAACATTTAAAATATAAATACCTCTGGGAGTTGATTACATCCTTTTAGCTATCAACATTTCACTGTAGTTTATGTAATAAATGGAAGTAAATTCTTTTGTATTAATTACATTTTAGTTGAAAATAAAATTGTATTTATTTATAATGGACAACATGATGTTATGAAATATGTATACACTGGGGAATGGCTAAATTGTATTAATTAACATATGTGTTACCTCACATGCTTATCGTGTACATACATATCACTTCAAATCTACTCTCACCAATTTTAAAGAATACACTATGTTTTTAACTACAGCCACCAAGTTGTACAATAGATCCAAAAGATCTTTTGAACTTTTTCCTCCCATCTAACTAAAAATTTGTATCATTTATCCAACATTTCTCCCTATCCTGGAGCTGTGGTCCTTGGTAACCACCATTCTATTCTCTGCTTCTAAGAGTTAACATTTTTGGATTCCATGTATGAGTGAGATTATGCAGTATTTGTTCTTTGCCTGGCTTATTTCACTGAACACAGTGTCCTCCAGGTTCAACCACGTTGTCTTTCCTTATTTTTTTTTAAGGCTGAATAGTACTCTATTGTTTATGCACATCATATTTTCTTCATTCATCCATCCAGTGATAAACCCTTAGGTTGGTTCCATATCTTGGCTTAGAAGGGGGACTAGTGGGCTTTCTAGGAAGCCATAAGAAGGCTTGGAAGCACTGGTCATCAGGGGAGTAGGTGGAGGCACCAGTTGGGTGGATAAAGTTAGGGAGAGGGAAAGTAGAAAGGCCAGTTTTGTCGATTTCACATTTTACCTTGACTGTCCATGTGTTTAATATATCCTTGCATTCACAGAGTCTATGTTCTGAGAAATGAGGTGGTTGATATGATCGAAACTGGAATAAAATGTATATTTCATCAAGAAACAGATGGATCTTAAGAATCTGGTAAAAAAAAGTAGAATTCGGCATAGTAAGAATGTTTGCATGTAGAAAGAGAGTATTACATTGTGGCATTTCCCATTTCTTTTTACATGTGAAATTACAGTGAACTTATAAAAATACCCCTCTGTCTTTTTTTTTTTTTTTTTGAGATAGGGTCTCACTCTGTCATCCAGGCTGGAGTACAGTTGTGTGATATCAGCTCACTGCAACCTCTGCTTTCTGGGTTCAAGTGATTCTCCCGCCTCAGCCTCCCAGGTAGCTGAAATTACAGGCACACACCACCACAACCTGGCTAATTTTTGTATTTTTAGTAAAGATGGAGTTTTACCTTGTTGGCCAGGCTGGTCTTGAACTCCTGACCTCAGATGATTCACCTGCCTTGGCCTCCCAAAGTGCTGGGAGCCCAGCCCCCCTCTGTCTCTTTATACACACATGCATACATATTATGTGTACATACTTAACCACATCATCTATCTGTCATTGCTTTCCATTAATTACATTGCTAAAATATGTGAATAATTTAAATTTTAAACTTTAATACTTATGAAAAGGATAACTGCATAAAAGTGAAATTAAAAATACAACCATAGGCTTATGTTTCCAGATAGGTTTTGAAAGATTACATGTGTTCAATCATAACATATTTCCTTTTCCAACAAATAGCTAAAATTTATTCTAACTCTAAATCATTAATATTATATATACAAGATTGAGCTCTGAGAGTTTATTAGAAAAGAAAGTTTACATTTCATTCTCCCTTCAATGGTTTAATAAACAAAATTACTTTAACATGACTTTCAATGAGCAAATATAGTATTTACATTTTTGATCTACAAAATTTCTTTAACAAATTGGAGTGTAACTAGTACTGCCAGTTTTTATATATTGGTGAATAAGGTTTGTGGTAGTTAATTATCATCTTTCTATAACTGAATAACTCAGAAAAATTATATATTACCAGCACAACCAAAATAAAATAAGGTTATTATTATATGTCCTCTAAGTGTTCTTAAATTAAACACTTTTTAAAAAGTATTTATTTTATTATGCTTTATGAGTCAATGCATTGTCCTATATTCCGAGTATAAAGAGATATTTAAATAGGACTTGCTTTGATGAACTAACCACGAATTCTGAGTTTTAACATGTATGCTAAATTTTATAAATTTGGTGTGAAAATGAATGGGAATTCACGTGGGTTGTAACACAGAGATTCATAGTATCAGAAATTGAATGAATGCTCCACTCAGAGTGTTTTAATTTCCATTGCCTATACTCTCTCGTATTTCATCTGAATTCAAGAACTCATATGCCATTTACTTAATTGTGTGTATTTCTCTGCTTATAGTCTATATTTCAACTTGGGAATGAATTTCACGTTTCTTTGTGTCCCATGCACAAAGTGTGTTGAACATGAGGTTCTTAGTAAACAATTGATTGACTGCTTCAGGTTTAGGTCCAGTCCACACTGAGACCAGTCTGTGATAGACTATCTGGACATCCTTATTAAACCCAAGCATTTGGAAAAATGAAGTCCTTCCAGTTCTTTTTTTGACTATCTCCAGGAAAAGGATGGTTGTCTGGTTATCTGGAGTTAGCCAAGAAGTCTCTGATTTTCAGAAATCATCCAGTGTAATATGAACCTCATTACATCACAAATAACCCTGCTTTGAAATGAATTATTACCTATACAGATCCAATTTAATCTATACTTCACTTTTCTTCTTGTGGGTGATTACTATGTTATTCCTATTGTTGAGCACAATGCCTCCTACATATTGGAGACCTTCATAAATATTAGTTGAAGTAAGAAATAAATGATGTATTAACGTTAATGAATCATCAATCTGGAGTTAAACAATCCTACAGGATAACTGGCATTTTCCAGGACAGTCTTTGAGAAAAACCTTCAGTTACTTCAGAAAAGGGAACAAGGCCCCAGAGGTCTGTTACATTGGAAACTGCCTACCATGGGTAGCCACCCATATAAACTGATCCCAGGCAACATAGTCAAGATGTTTGTACTTGTGGTGCCAGAACCTACTCTTCGGCCAGATATTTCTTGACCCTCTTCTTCTATAATTCAAGAATGCTTAAGACTTTCTCTCTAAAGTGTATTGCCTTAAAAAGCTAGACTTCCTAGAAGTGTCTGTACTATAAAAGAGAACCTCCGATAGAATATGATGTGTTTCTAATGGAGGATTTTAGACATAAATATGGGACATCGGAGGCTCTAGACTTCACAGAAGCTTTTTGGATTATACTTCTTGGTCTCCAAAGGCAAAAGCTTGTGGCATATACATTTAAATGAGTTATTGTTACTGTGAGAGTGATTCTGCCACAGTAAATAGTTGTTGAGACAGTAGAGAGGTGAATGAAACCAAGTTACAGCTGATACTAGGGTGTGTGCTTTTGTTTCAGAGTAAAAGACTATATTGTCTAGTCCATGTGATGCTGTTACATTGGTTTATACATTTAAAGGAAAATTAAACTGTAAATATGATACTATCTGAGCCCTTTCCTGTGGCTTCTTTAAACTATAGGGGTTTGGTAGGTTTACATACAGAAGTCTGGAGAATGGGGGTGTGACATATTGCAAAGAATAACATGTCCGAAAGTTAAAGTTACAGCGACAGTAGTAGAAGCCCTTAAAATCAAGCTGCAGTGTTCTTTTCCTATGCTAGGGCCACGGATAGAAAGATGATGAAAGTGACACACACACACACACACACACACACACACACACTCACATATATGTAAAGTCAGTAATTAATTCAGTAGTAAATCTGCTTAGGCCTTCCTCCTCTATTTTCAAAATTTCAGGGCTTTTGTCTACCAATTTTTAATTCCAAATTTCATTTGAAAATAAAAACCTTTAATCTTTCAACAATTTTTATCCACAAAGTAAAGTTTAGGAGAAAAAAAGCTAGCTGTGAGAATGACCTGAGACATGATCGTTCCTATCATTTTAGTTTGAAATTCAGCAAGTAGATCACAAAAACAAGTACGCTCCAGAGAAGGAAGAAAACATGCTGTCCTGTGGACTGTCCTAATACCCCTTCAATTCCTTGAAATGCCTTTCCAGTATGTATAATTAAGAGGGCATTCTCTGCCTCATAAAATTCTCCGAAACAGCTTTTTTTTTTTTTTCCCCCTGTGGCTATTTTGCTTTTGTTGCTTATTTCTACCTAATGATGAGTTTTGCACATTTTGAATCTTTGTCCTAGCTATGCAACAGATCTAACTGCCCACCTTTCCAAGCTCATTCTGATGAAGTAGAACCAGAATTACAGTTCTCTGGTTTGAGAATAATCACTGCAGCAATATATAACATTTCTGAGAACACAGTGACCTTTTCCCGTTAGTAAGATTCTTTGAAATCTTGGGGATGTTTCCATTGCTATATTGATACATCTTATGTACTTTGCCAAAACCAGGCAGTGATATTTCCATTTCTGTTCTCTCTTTTTCAGCCACCCCCTGGGCTTGCTTTGCACCCCACACTATAAACACTGAACATGGTGTCTGAGTATGAGACAGGAATGGTCTCACCACCTGGGAGTCTAAACCTCCTCCATTCATTTTCAAAACAGGATCACAAAAAGTGTGCTACACCTGCTTGTTCCACACAAGGACTAGATTCCCTAGTTCTTAGATAGTCTTACAGACCATTTCCCTACATATTCAGCTGTCAGCTATTGTTACTTTTTACAATCCAGAAGAATATGCTAATTATACTGACACATAATGCAATATGCTTAAGAACATGCCACTCAAACGTGTGGCTCTCAGGAGAATTCTACCTTCAAGAAACTTCATCTATAAGGACATATCCCCTTTGAGATAAAGGCAATTCTTTTGTAATAACAGAGGGGAAGGCTAAAATGTGATTTACAGCACATCACAACACTCGATAGTGTGATTTAACTGTTGTATAAAAACATATAGATTTAGGTTGAATTTAAATAGATGGGTGAGAAAGAGAGAGAAAGAGAGAGATTAAAATAACAGATGACTTCCAACTATAAAAAGTTCTCTAAGAAATGACAGAATAGTTAATGCATAGATTTCAAAGAAAACTACTGTTTCATACTATTGAGTATTAAACCTCTAATTTCTATAAAAATCTCTAATTTTTCCACATATTAAGTCAGGGAACTAAAAATGTCTTCTGTGGATATTTTTATAATAATATTTTCTGTTATAAAAAAGGCATTGCCAGACACTACCATCTGTCGTGTAGACTGACAGTGTACGAATCTGATGTCTTTCTGTGACTTCCTATCTTATATAATTGGAGGTTTCAGCCCAGAATGATGCTTCGTTTCCACCTAAGGACAACCAAGTTTGAATTCTCCTGAAATATTTTAATCATTTCCCTGCTATGCGCTGATAAGACCAGTATTCTGCATAGTTAAAAGCTATAAATGTGTCTATTGAGAGGGTGTTAAAAATTCTCCTCTGAGCTTCTGGCCATCATCCAGAATTATTACCATAATACCTTCTGAAATGACACGGAAAACATAATGCATTATAATTGATAAATGTTTCATTTGTACTTACTTTATTTTGGAAATTGAAACACTCAAAATGTCTTAGCTGCATCAACATGGGGAAAGGTTTATTTTACTATTTTTTGATGAAAAAGCTGTCTTTGCCAATTGTTTATGTAAAGATTGGAATATGTGTCTACCATGCTTTAAAAAGAGTTCAAGGACATTAAAACTACTCTATTGACTCAGATGTGTGTGCAAGTGTGTGTATGTGTGTAAGGGTACATGTAACCATCCTAATTCCAGTCAAGGAGACAAGATTACGGAATCACTTTTGTAGTTTTTCATTTAAAAAACCCCCCTTTTTTCCAATAAAACAGAAATTGTTACAGTTAAAACCTGTTAATTGGAGATAATGTCTGTGTAACTGAGCATTGTCCAAGGGTAATGACCTCCTGCTGTTAAGCCCTGAAAATGTTGACAGGAAGCCAACACATTTGTTTTCAAAGCAGGAGACATAGGTCCTTTGACACGATTCTATTAAAATGGCTTTATTTTTGTTGCACTACGTAATAGACAGAAATCTAATCATTCTAGTTCATATTATCAATGCGCTCCCATTTTTCTACTTCCAAATATCTTTGTAGGTTATGTTTTCACTGCTACTAAATGCACCAATTAGCACCTTTGCTGCTGCTGAGTAGCTGATCTCATAATAATACAGTCAGTGTAAGTTAATTCGGTAGGTTGTCAAAAAGCACTGAAATGAGTTAGTATTCATTAAGGTATGCCACTCAATACAATGTAATAATCAATGCTTTATAATTCATTGTAGCTGAGGAAAGAGGTTGGGTAATTTATAAAGAAATAGTGACAAGGGTTCCCCACTTCCCTGCCCCTAATTCTTACACACTCCATTTGGCTAATGTTTGAAATTTCATTTGTCTAATGGATAAAATTTCACTTAAAAATATTCTTCTGGGTTGATTGAGATTTTTATCAGTAAGAACAAAGGATCTAAGAACTGGTTTCCTTATGGGATTAGATGTACATGAAGGAGTGTTAACCTGAGGTAGGGAAAGAGGAGATCTTAAAGTATTAAAGCATCCGTAATGTGAGGATTGGAGGAGCTTAGAACCAATTCTGAATACTCTTCAGAGACAACCTAGGTGGTGGCTGCTGAACCACTTGCATTATGATTGTGTGGAAAGAATAATTGCAATGATTCTTTTTCTGGCTATAGAGGGAAACTTTTGTCATATTTTAAAAATACTTACATTAATGTCCTGGCCCTATCCTCAGTGATTTTTAATTCAGTTGTTTTAGGATAGGGCCCTGGTAGTCACAGCAATATTTTTTAAACTCAATAGGTGATTCTAATTCATAGCCAGAGTCTTCTGCTCTGTGGTTCTGAGAGTCACCAGGAGGGCCTGTTGAAACACAGTGGGCTGCACCCCTTACCCCTCCAAAGAGCTTCTGATACAGTGAGTCTAAGGAACAGCCAGAGAATTTGCATTTCTAACAAGTTCCCAGGTGGTGCTGATGCTGCACTAGAATGTATAGGAAGCCATTTAAATTATGTCAACTTAGTCATTTCTTTATTCCTGATGACTTTCAAAGGAAGAAAAGGGAAGACTCAAGACAGCAAGAGTCAAGTAGCGGCCAAGTTAAGACTGTGTTTTCCTATTTTAGACCACTGTGTTGTGGTAGTTCTAAAATAGCTTTTTGATTTCTTTCAAGTTTTCCATTTCTCTGGTTTACTTAAAATTTGTTATTTCTAAACACATAGTTTTTTTTAAATAATAACTTTATAGCTAATACTTATTGAAAATTCAGTTACCATCAGGATCCGACCTAAATGTTATGTATTACCTCATTTAATCTTCACCACTTAAACAGATGCTCTTATTATCATAATCAGTATTTACTTTCTTAAGGTCACACAGCTAATAGGTAGTAGATTTGGAATTGTAATACAAGCAAACTGACTCTACAGCCTAAAACCTTAATTTCTCTGTACTGCTTCCGCATACCTAATGATTTATGAAACATGATCTTACAACTCTGTGGGGCTAAGTATATCACTGTTTATTATCAAATTATTCTTGATGACAGAGTAATGATAAAATAACCCCCATTTATTGAGTGCCTACTTAGGGCCATGCACTATGTTAAGCACTACTATCAAATTCCCAAGTGTTTAAGGGATGAGACAATTAAGTGGTGAAATTAGGGTTTAAATTTATGCTTTCTGGTGGGTGTTGGAGTTCTGCCCCCGAAAAGGAACCATTTAGGTTCCTGATAACATTCCAGTTTCAGATTCAAAATTCTGAAAAAATGTAGCTATGCTCCTAACAATATTGCTGTATAATTCTGGCAAATTTACTTTTGCCTGAGAATGTCTGATATGGTTTCTGTTACAGTTAAAAAAAAAAGCTTTGATTAAAATGGTGGTCATTTTGATGTATGAATATGAGGTCCCTGAGGCTTGGAGAGTTGAAGAGTTTAAATGACTTTAACTAAGATCACCCAAACTAAACAACGGAAGTAGGAATAGATAACTTTCAGGCTTATTTTCTTTCTGCTGCAACAATTTACTCCTCATGTCTGGTTTTGCACCTTTTCTTAGATCACCTGTTTGAGAAGATCACAGTACAGACCATAAATCCTTAATTTTTTTTTCCATAGTGCATTTCTGAGTGGTGGCCCAATGAGTCTTATGAGCAGACAGGAATGGCTGCTGCTAGTGTGTTTTCAAGAGTCATGCATAGCCCTCCAGGAATCATTGTCTAGACCTCACCAGCTTGTTGTTAAGAGACAAATAAAATAGCAGATTCCAAGTGCCTGGCACATAGGAAACACAAGGTTCAGTAAATGGTGGCGATTACTGTATTGTCCTAATGGCAATAGGAGGAGGGAAGTGAGAGGGAAGAGCAAAGCTCTGTACTAACTCAGATGACTCCCTGGTTTCAAAGATATCATTTGAGTATAGAAAATATTTGGTTTGTATGTAAAGAAAAATGAACTTTTCAAAAGTCAGTATCAGTCATTTTTACAGCTCGTGTTTATGAGGTTTATCAACTCATATCAACAGGTTCCAATCAATTTGACTTGCGCATGCTGCGTGCATACTGAGACGCAGGTGATGTGCAGATTTATTGTTGGAGAGCTGTTTCCAGTAACTTAGAGCCAAGAAACATTGTTAGAATCATGTAGAGGGGTGGAACTATGTATACAAAATGCTCAGGCACAGGAGACATTTATTTTTCTGTCTATTGTTCTGTCTGTCTATATCTATCCTCTTTCTCTCTCTCTGGCTAAATTAACTTTCTAATTTTTTAAAGGAATTAAAAGCTTTAATTAAAAAATCTTGAGTGGATAATAAAGTGTAGAAATAGAACATTTACAAACAATTTAAAACCTGGAATCACTGACTGTTCAGGAACTACACAGAAGGATCATGAATGGTGGTGAACAGCAGAAAGAAATTATGGATGAATCTACATTATTTTAGCTGCTCCCCATGCCACCTGTCTCAGAGGAAAGCCTGACATTTATTAGATATTGAACCAGACTAATGCTGGCAGCAGATCCAGCGATTGTAACCTGCCTATCAGTAGATCCTTCCACTGGGTTCAAATTTTGATCTGCACCCCAGACTTCTGAGGGATCTCCTTGATTTTGGTGCCTTGATGTCTGAAATTATTCAGCCAATCAAATCAATTGGAATGGTGAGTTCATGAGAAGTAGTTGGAGCAGATGCATTCAAACCTGCACTGTATCCAGTGTTGCCATGAGTCATGGGAAAATAAGCCTGTTGCATTGCCTACTGGTGCAGCTTGGTCAACTCTAGAGGTGATCCCTCCAGATAAGCACAGAAGCACATGGACAGGGTGGTGTGGGGAAAGTTCGCACTGTTGCTGCTTGTGATGTACTTGTCCTTACCACCTGCAAAGATGACCAGAGAACTCAATAATAGCTTGGGCTGGTAAGGAATAGTCATGCCCTTCCGGGGTTACTGGGAGAGTCTCCAGCATGTCTACGCATGTCTGTTTGACACACTCAATTGTGGATTACAGAATGTTAGCAATAGTGATGGCCCACTCAGTTGAGTTGGGAGCATATCCTCTGTCAGCTGCACCTGAGCCTCTACACTGTCTCATATTTCCTTGATTTTGCAACCACCTTTTCCAATAAGAGGGCCACACTGACTAAGATGACCAAGGGTCTACTGGCACCCGTGCTATTGGTTATAGAGCTGCTGATGTCCTCTTCCAGTTTGTCAATTATCATAGTAAGCCTTTGAAGATGGCATTAGTGAGTCCAGCCAAAGTGATAACTCTCTCAGGACAATTTTCTAATTTCTTTTTTGAAAAACATCCATTTGCAAATTTGGGGGCATTACCCTATATGACACTAGATGGTATAAGTGAATTTAACATAAATTATCTATGTTATTAGATATTACTTAACTGTGACTGCATGCATCACAATGCTGTGTTTACCTGATAAACCACCACCGAGCCCAGTTAATTAATTAATTTATTTTTTTGAGACAAAACTCCATTGTCCAGGTTGGAGTGCAGTAGCGCCATCTCGGCTCGCTGCAACCTCTGCCTCCAGGTTCAAGCAATTCTCCTGCCTCAGCCTCCTGAGTAGCTGGGATTAGAAAGGTGTGTGCCACCATGCCCGGCTATTTTTTGTAGTTTTAGTAGAGATGGGGTTCCACCATGTTGGCCAGGCTGATCTCGAACTCCTGGACTCAAGTGATCTGCCTGCCTCGGCCTCCCAAAGTGCTGGGATTATAGGCATGACCCACCGTGCCCGGCCCTAATTTTGTATTTTCAGTAGAGACGGGGTTTCACGATGTTGGCCAGGCTGGTCTCGAACTTCTAACCTCAGGAGATCCACCTACCTTGGTCTCACAAAGTGCTGGGATTATAGGCATGAGCCACCACGCCCAGCCTAGTGTTTATGTTTTGACTTTTATTGTTTGTCACCTATTCATCTTGATCATGCTATTTCTTATCCCAACATTTGGCATATCAGTTCTAACACAGTCTTGATATGTAACCTCTTTAAAAATATATACATGTAGGCTGGGCACGGTGGCTCACCCCTGAAATCCCAACACTTTGGGAGGCCGAGGTGGGCGGATCGCTTGAGGCCAGGAGTTCAAGACCAGCCTGGCCAGCATGGCGAAACCCCGTCTCTACTAAAAATACAAAAATTAGCTGGGCCTGGTGGCACGTGCCTGTAATCCCAGCTACTCAGTAGGCTGAGGCAGGAGAATTGCTTGAACCTGGAGGCAGAGCTTGCAGTGAGCTGAGATCACGCCACTGCACTCCAACCCGGGCAACAGAGCAAGACTTTGTCTTAAAAAAAAAAAAAAAATACACACACACACAGACACACACACACACACACACACACACACACACACACACACACGTAGATGTAGAGAAGCCTGCCCCAGAAAAGATTTTAAAAATAAAATTATGAAAATAGGACAAATGTTAAAAGTGAATTCAAAATTTAACTACTATTAGGATTTTAATGTTACCCACTCCAGTTATTTAGAAACAATTTAAAATGTATACTTAAACACATCCATATTATGTTGCATCAATAAATACTTATTTTAAGTATTATAACTGTCTTCATTCCTTTTAATTTTTTTTGAGAAAGAATCTCGTTCTGTCGCCCAGACTGGAGTGCAGTGGTGCCATCTCTGCTCACTGCAAACTCCACCTCTTGGGTTCAAGCAATTCTCCTGCCTCAATCTCCCGAGTAGCTGGGATTATAGGAGCTCCCCATCACACCTGGCTAATTTTTGTATTTTTTTTAGTAGAGACGGAGTTTCGCCGTGTTAGCCAGGTTGTTCTCGAACTCCTGACCTCAGGTGATCCATCTGCCTCGGCCTCCCACAATGCTGGGATTACAGGTGTGAGCCACCGTGCCCAGCCTGTCTTCATTCTTTAACAGTAATTACAATTAATATTCTAAACACAGCCATAAATTTTATCTAGTGGATCAGTGATAATATACTAAAACCTTCCCCCACTATTAGACATTGGGGTGCTTTAAATTGTTCATAGTGTAATGCTATACCTTATATTTAACTTTTTCAGTATTTTGGCTGATTTCATTAGGCTAGATTCCAGGGACTGGGAATGCCTTTGACAAGGTATTTGTCAAATTGCTTTCTAGAAGAGTTATACTCATTTCTGTTGTCATCAAGAATGAATGGGATGGTAAGTTCACTGTACTTTCACCAGCATGTTAGATATTTATTTACTTATTTATTTTTGTAGTTCCATATGTCAAATGGTACTTGCTTTAATCTACGTTTTCTGGCTACAAGAAAGTTCTTACATTTTCAAATCTGTGTTTGATAATTCTGTTTCCTTTAAATGTCAATTATATGTTTAAACTCTTGTCCATGTATCTGTCATATTATTAGTGACTTTTCTATCAGAAGTTTGAATGCTTCACATGCATCTTTCACATGCATAAAAATAAAATCAAGTAATTAAACCAATACTACATTTGTTGGAAAATTTCTCAGTTTAACTTTTAAATTTTTTTATATTCACATTTTAAATGTTATGGTACCATTTACTGATATTTTCCTTTGTGCATTCTTTACGTATTCAAAGCATTGAAAATTATTTCTTTGTTAGAGGTTTGATAAATATTCAATATAATTTTCTTTTTACTTTGACTTAATTTTCAGTAAAATTTACTTTTTAACACATCTGGAATTTGTTTCAGGGTATGATGTGAAGTGAATACGTTTGAATTTTAAATAATTTACTATGCTGTGACCCAGCTGCCTGATTTCCCGTACAAGTTGCCAAGTGCCCACTGAAAGAAGAATGTTCTTATATTTTGTGTTCTTTGAGATAATATTGGTTACTTTATTAAGCATGCTAGAGGTTTTTTTTTCTTTTTTTTTTTTTTTTACTGAGAAACCTATGCCTCACTTCGTTTGTTTTCAAAAAGTTGAATGATCAGAAGGGTATAATTTAATAAAATATTATTTTGTATATTTTGTGTTTACCCTATTTATTACGAGAGTACACTTTAACAAACTACTGCAGGTACTTTCGGATTTTCAGAAGTATTTTAGCCTACAATTGTTAATATATGTATTTTTTAATGTTCTAGGTGAACTTAGATATAAAAACCTGAGTTTGAAGTATGTCCCAATGACTGATTCATTATGTGATTTTATGCAAAGTTTAATCTTCTGAGTCTCTGTTTTCTCTCCAGACAATAGGGATAATGCAACCTACATTATGAGACAATGGTAATAATTAAATGAGAAAATGTATGTTAAATGATCAGAAGATGGCCTGATAAAGAAGAAACCTCACAGATGCATTATTTTCTTTTCATTTTTATATGGAATAGGCTATTGGTCATCTGAACTGGTGAAAGAGAACAAATGTTCCTAGTAAATTCCACAGGGACAACTTTTGACTTTGAAATATGTCTCCTTTGAATTTTGAATATAGTTATTTCTGATCTTCAGGGAATTTAAACAACATAATGAAATTATAGAGCTAATACCTAATTCTAGACTCTTCTAATTTTTTCTTGGGTTCAACTACAAGCTAAAAAAAGAGAACTCATTTTAAAACTTCCCTAAGGCAGAAATGATGGTAAGTGTTTGAACTTCAAAGGGTTTGCCTAGTCAGATGAGGACTGTATGCTTAGTAAAAGTAAACAGATAGGAAAGAGACCAATAAGAACAGTAATTAAATAAAGTATGTAGCTCAAATATCTAATTATGCTATTTGCCTTAAAAAATCTACGTGGGATTTCTGTTTAGTTGTCTATTAATATGATTTTAGAGACATGAGAAAGACTCCTGTAACAATCTATCCAGCTTGCCACCCATAAAATCTGAAACATATACCTGTATTATAACACGTCTCACTGTGTCCAATGATGTTTTTAATAATTTGTAGCCTGTTAAACAGGGCTTTATAAAGACAGAGGACAGGTCTTGTACTTCTTTGCACTGATCCTGATGATCATTAGGATACTCTATAAAAGTTTCATGTCAGAAATTCTGTATTCCTATGTTTAGAGCTTTTGTGTCATTGTGCATGAGATTATAATTATTGTTGTCTAAAACTTTATATAATGATAGGATCTTGGACAAGGATGTGTCAGGTTGGGGCCTGGGGGAGGACAAGAACATAAGAGACTAGATACTTAAACAATAATGAAGCAAATAAGATGATTTAGCTCAATTCTTTAAAAAGCAGAGCCTGAGGTAAGGATTAAGATGCTATGATTTTATTTAGAAGATTCAAGCCCACTGAAGTATAAATGAAAAACAGAAGCAAAGCGAGGACGCCGCAGAGAAATTTAATGCCTTATGTCACAACACTGGTCACCATTGCATGATGAGTCACTAAGAGATACTGCCAGATGCATAGTGAATGTGTTCACACAACACATAGAACTTCTTTGGAAGTGTGGTAAGAATGAGTCATTCCTAGAAGAGGGAAAGGAGGAGAAATGTGTCTTCCCAGCTTTCTCCCATCTCAAGTTACCTATTGGTCAAATCTTATGCAGAGTGTTTTACCCCTACACTGATGGCTTGTATAATCTGGCTTGTCAGTACCATTCAGAGAGATCCCTTGTATTATGGCCTTTTCATCCAAGTCCAAAGGTAAACCAGTGACCTAATATGAATGAGGACTTGACCAGAAAAGAGAGAGAAGAAAAGGTGGTCAAGAGAATCTGAGAAAGCATACAAAGTTTGTTTCCTAAAACATAAGAGATGTGGACATTAAGGAAGTTGGGAGCATTGAAAACTACAGTTATAGGGTGATAAAAGTGATACTCTTCTGCTGTATTGGTCAGGTCAGGGGTTGCTATATGCAAAACAAATGCACCCCAAATTACGGTGGTTTACATCACTGAGAACTCTATTTCTTGCTTATGTCTCTGTTAAGTATGGGTTGAGGGAACTCGCATTCCTTTGACTTAGTGACTCTGCCATTTCTAGGATTCCTAGGATCCAAAATGCCTCCAATGCATCCTCTGCATCTGGCTACCAGGCCAGAGAAAATAATGAGAGCATGGGGGGTTGCCTGGGGATTTTTTTATGTGCCTTATTGTGAAACATCCCACAGCCCCACCTAACAGCAGGGGAGACTGAGGAATGTAGTCTACTGGTACGTCCAGAAGGAAAAAAGGAGGGCTTGTGAACAGTTAGTAGTTTGTGTCAGATATCCTAACCATGTTAAGTTTTTGCTGTAGGAGAATGTTTCATAGTAGTGGTATATTTTGACCTTTAATCTACTTAAGTAATGCAGTAAAGACTCATTTTAATCAGATGCCACTCTTTTGCCCTCTGCATCAAATTTTTCAGATTTTAAAAATGTTTTCCCATAACATCACCATCTTGCTTTTCCTTTTTCTGGAAAAATGTAACTAACTTGATAATCAATTCTACTCTAGCTTCCAAGACAAAACTTAACCTTAGAGTATTTATATGACAATCTGTGGAGGTACTTACAGAATCAGCCCTCCAGACTTACAGAAGCTGGGCTTCCCAAATGAAACTACTACTTTCCAATGCCTGGACTCATAATCCTTGCAAGGTAATTTAGCAAACTTTATATAAGGTATACTTTAGCCTGAGACTTTTCACAGTCACTGCACTCCTTGATAATTTCACCCCTAACTTTTCTCTCAATGAAAAGGCAATTTACTGACTTTCACCAGGAAGATTACCTTTCTTATCCTTCTGTCATTGCCTGTAAAAGACAGCTGGGAACAAAATGGTGAGGCAATTAATAATGTTCTTCTTAATTTCTCTCTTCACAGAATCCTGGTACAACAACTGCCTATAAACACTTGCCAAGTCTGAGATCAAGCTACTAATTGAAGTAGTCACAATAGGAGGTGTCTTCACTATAAAAATGTATGAAAATTTTGAGTATATTTACTGTGAGAATGCTTTGCAAAGACTTCACAGAAAAGTATTTCACATTGTAATAGTCCTGGAGCATGAGTCATCAGGCAGTAATCAAGTTGTCTTTTTGAATCAGAATGAAGACCATCAATGTCAAGTTAGTGTTTTTATGTCATGAATGGAATGAGGGAGAGATACCATAGCTATCTTTTCAGAGAGAATCGGATATACTTTCCTGATACACTTGGGACACCGTAATCCTTGGCACAGGTTACATCCATGTTCTCAAAAAGGAGTTTGCATTATTTTTGCAGAATGCGCTCATGGGTCTCGTATTAAAGTCTGTTCTGCTGTGGAGATACATCCAGAAGTTCAGCATAAATACACTGATTTTCAAAAACCTAGGAATTATCCTGCTTATACCTTTTATTACCTGGAAAAATTACTTCAAGTAATTGGATCTTGGTTTCCTCATTTGTAAAATGAAAATATTGTTATTTACACCATATGGATATTAAAAAGATTGATAAGATAACATATATGAGAATGATCAGCAGAGTGTCTGGCATGGATACTTTGCCTTAAAAGTATTGAAATGATATTTGAAGTTTGATATTGTTGATGCTGATCGACTGCCTGTTTCACTGCATTTGGTCTCTCTGGTCTTCTCTGGGATTGCCATCAAGAATTTTAAAATTTATCCTTGGTCTGAACAGAGAGAAAGAAATTCATATGACATATTTTTGCTTTTGGTCTGAACTTACAGATTAACACTTTCCTTCTAGACACATATCCATGTTTTTGAAGAGGTTCTCATCTCTAAATGAATTCTTTCCTAATTGTGTTTGTGTGTTATACCCTGATCTCCTGATCCTGTTCTTCACTGTGGCTGCTAAATTCTAAAATTTCTGGTATGGGAGTCCTTCCTTATCAGCACAGGATATGTTCCAAAACTCTCAGTGGATGCCTGAAACTGTGACTAGTACCCAACCCTATATATACTATAATTTTTCCTATATATATGTACCTATGATAAAGTTTAATTTATAAATTAGGCACAGTAAGAGATTAACACAGTAACTCATAATAAAATAAAGCAATTATAACAATATATTGCAATAAAAATTATGTGAATGTGGTCTCTCTCTTTTAAAATACTTTAGTATTTTTGGACTGAGGTTGACTGTGGGTAACTGAAACCACAGAAAGCAAAATCATGGGTAAGTGGGGAATGCTGTATAACTCATTCTGCAAACTCTCTAAACCCTTGCTTGCATCTCACTAAGAAATTTTAAAACAACTTTCCTTGCAAAAGTGAGAGCACAGCTAATAATGAAGGCAAAATAAAATAAAAGGTACACAGCCCAGTCCTAAGCTATAGATAAGCAAGGCATCTAATTATTAATCTGATGTGAAATGATACTGGCCCCTAAAGATCCTGTTATGGGTATTTTATGGATCATGTTGAAACTAGTGTTCTTGCTGCTTATTTTTCCTCCTGATGAGGAGAGAAGCAAAAATAATCACATGCTACGGCTTTGTGAAGAACTTGAAGGGAAAGTAAAAAATGAGTTCTTCTCATTTTTTTCCTTCTAGATTCTAATTCTTTTCACATTTAACTGGGGAATCAGTGAAATTCAGCCCTTTTGACTCTTCATAAATGTGGGATAAGTGGTGAAAACAGAACATCATGATGAGAGACTCCAGACCTAGATTATTTAATTAGTGTTTTGTCTTTGGCAAAGCCTTAAATCTCTATGTTTCCGAGTTTTCTCACTTATTAAATGGAGTAAGTAATAGCTTCCTTACATCACTGGGATATTTTGAGAATAGATAAAATGATGAATGTCAAAATTCTTTTGTAAAAAGCAAAATGTTATTTTTAGACAAATATAAAATGTTGCAAATAAGTGATACTCTCCCCCCTCTCTATTATACTGACGCTAACATATTCAATTATAAATATCAGCATAACTTAATTTTATAAAACTTAATATAAATAAAAATCTTATGGAAAATGCACATTATTTTTTCTCACTGTAGTTGTCCATGACACTTGTCAAATTATTATCTCGGCACAACTTTAACTTATTAACCAGGCACATTGTAATTCTTCGTCAATGTGCTTACTGTGGAAATTTACTTAGAGCAATTTGATAAAGAGCTGTGCTAATTCAATTATTGAATTTCATGCTTTATATTTAAAGTCTATAAACAAAAATTACAAAAACGTACTTAAGTTATTGCATGCAGTACTTTAATGCTCTGAATAGCATTTGTGCTTGAGATTGGTAGGCAGCATATTTAAGTGATGTGCTCACGAAAGTGAAATATTCAAAACAGCTTTTATGAAAATCTCCCATCTGGCAGTTACAATTGATCAGAAATCTACTCTTCAGCATTATTTTGAATATAGCATGCATTTTTAATTAAAACTGTTCATTCGATTTATTAATGTAAGTAAAACCTCCCATCTGATCATGTTTAACTTGAGAAAGTGGTTTTCTAAAACCCCTTTTATGAATTGAATGATACAATTTTCAAGAAGGAATAGTTATAAAAGATGTCAGATATTTATTTGCTATTAATCGTTTTTGTCCTTAATTTCACAATTGATCTATGAACATGCTTGCTTAAAAATATTTGATGAATTCATGGTCTTAATTCTTATATTATTTTAAATCTAAGTGAGCTCCAAAGGATCTAAGATAAAAATCTTTAATAAATCATGTTAAGGGATACTTTATGTTAGTTAAATTAAGTTTTAATGGACAAGATATAAGCAGATTATTAAGGTTAAAATTTCTCACAGTGAGAAATAAAAGCAAACTATCAAATGCTTTTATTCAGTTGCTATGTTCATGACGTACATTATCAAAATTAATCCTTTTAAAAATCCTGTTTCTCAGCAAAAGGATTTCAGGTCAGGCAACTGGACTTCGAATCACAGGCATTTCATCCCTGCCCTGCTTGTCTTGGCTATGGGAGGTTTATAAGGACGGCTCTGCTGGATTCTCTCCAGGAAGCTCTGTACCTGGATTAGATGCCGTGATAATTCCCAGACATGGTTGCTTGTCAAATGGATTATTAAGGCTATGAACTCATACCTTATAAAAATGGAAAACAAATTTCTTTAACATGTATTCTGGATAATGTCTATATCCTTCATTCTGGATAAATGTCTATATCCTTCATGTTTCACACTGGTTAAACATCATGCCAACCATCTTAGGTTACAAAGTAGGTAATTTCTGTGTTCAGGTACACAATATTATTTCTGATGTGTTAATAGTAATGGCTCTCATTTCTGAGTGAATTTTTAAAATACATAGATAGTTTATTTGTAATTAAGGCCTCTCGATTTGAGAATGGAAGTAAGGAGGCGTGGGAGATATTTCTGCAACCCACTTAGTGATTAATTGGAGCATACCAGGTCACCAGTAAATGAAAGTCAATGGGCTTAATTATTGTCAGCCTTCTTGAATGATTATATTTTATATAAATATAAAAAATATAATACCAATATATATTATATATTTATATATTATAACAAATAGTATATATTCATATATATTATACGATATATATTATATAATATATAAATATAAATATAATCATTCAAGAACTTACAGTTAAGTCCAAAGCCATGACCTTTATGTTTGGCTGTTGTTATTATATTCTTAGCCTCATTTCAGGGGATTTGGGATAATTGTGTTTGGAAGATCTTTCAGGTTATGCCTCTCCTTATAAATAAATCTACAGTCATTAGGTGCAGAGTGTATCTTCCATTGGCACCTTTTACAATTGTATTCTACTGTTCAAGTTTTCCAGTGTGCTTGTTTCATACACAGTCAATATCCATGTTCCCCAGCATGGGAGCTAAAAAAGGTTGAAAACTGGTTCTACCAACAGCTCAGCTTGTAAAACCATGAACGCTGTCTGTGCTGTTTTTCAGCCTATACCTATGATTTGTATGTCTGAAACTTTCACTTACATATTTCTTATCTTACCAACAGCATTTCTCAAAACAGTCTTCTTTATTTCCAGTGACTTATCCAAGAATTGTATTGCTACTGCTGTTTCCAACCTTTTCAACAAAAAATTTTATTAGCTCTAAACATGTTCCTTGAAAATAAATTCCAGAGTGTTGTGTTTTTGGTTACTTATTTAACATTATTTTGAGTTGTAACAAAAATAACTTATTAGAACTTATAAACCTGCATGCAAGACAAAATGAATTTTAAATGTGTAAGAAAGCCAAAGGAAAAGGAGAGTAAAAATTAAAAAAGTAAAATCCAGCCAGCATGAGGTTGGTACATAAAATATTTGCCCTGAAGTTCTATACACGTGCTAAAGGTAGACCACAAATTTGACTTTAAGCTTTTTAGAAACCAATCAAAAGTGGGAAATGTTATCAATATCTCCAAAGTATAAGGAAATGAGTTGCTTTGAAGACACATATTAACTATTCATGAAACCAAGGTTAGGAAACAAATTTTTATACATTTTTATTTTGGAAGAAAGAAAAATTGAAAACATTTTTCACAGAGTAAGGAGTTTCTAAATATTGGGAAATGCTATCTTGCCATGGTACAATCTAATAAAAGGTATTTTTGTGGGAAGGGAGTATTTATAATATGTGATCCAGTCATGGCACCCTTTGATGGTCTAGCTGGTGCAAGAAGAGATTTCAGAATCTCTGAAATTCTGTCGAAGAAGTGAGGAGCAACATCATCTCTGTAAATGGTCCCAAAGCTTCAACTTCAGCTACTTCAAAATAGAACTTCATTTCAGCTTGCATTCCTCTGATACTTCTTGGAAACTGATGGCATCGCTGCTCCTAAGTACAGGGTTCTCCATTCCCTCATCGGTTTTATTAAGAAAATCCTACAACCATGGATAAGAAAGGCTTAGGTAGAGAAGAGTGGAGATTATTATTTATTCATCTCCGTGACTCCAGGGTTGCTAGTGAGATGCAAGGGCACGTAATAGGTGCTAATACATGTTGTTTTCCTACAAGCTCTGAAATTAACTGTTTTAATATAGGTAAATAACTTCACCTATAAAGGAAGGATAATGATACTAACCCTGGTGGAACAAGTTAAATTAATAAACATTGGTTAATAACAAGCACTTAATAAATATTTGCTGGATCAAGGAATGAAGTCTAAAGCACTATGCAATGTAAAAGATGAGAAATTAGTAAATTATCTCAATGCTGCCACAATAAATATTTTAATATTGGATTTCCAAGGCAATATTGAAGAAGATGGTATCATGTTGAATAGAGGAAAATGTATTATTTTGTAGAAGAGTTACATATAGAGATAGATAATTAACTTACCTATAGAGGTAGAATATTAAGTGCTAATATTCTCAGTAACACTATTTTAATAAATAATCTAAAATATAAGAATATGCATTTTTCCCATGAGACGTAATACAGGCATATTTTTATTTTGAATGAGGATAAAAAGCAATTTGCAGAGTTTTTTTTCAATTGCATAGACTTTCCTTCAAAAAATGTATGTTAACATAGATCTAAATTCTAGTATGAATGGACTACATATTCTTGATAATTCTCTCTAAATGTTTTTTCTCTGTACTGAGATTTTGACTGATATCAAGTAATAGGAAGTTTAAGATTATATTACCTAACATAGTAGACGCTGAATAAATTTTGTTCATTAACTGACAGTTGATTAACGAACACTTGATTTCTAAATACACAAATATTTCTAGTATAATCTTACCATCATATAATCATGCTTCTTATTAAATAACTTATCTACCTCTAAATGTAACTCTAATCATGTTTCTTATTAAATAACTTATCTACCTCTAAATGTAACTCTTCTACAAAATAATACATTTTCCTCCATTCAACATGGTACCATCTTTTTCAATATTGCCTTGGAAATCCAGTCCCCAATATTTGTTCTTACATTGTCTTATATTACATAACTTAATGTTAAGCTGTAGATTTCCAAACTGGCCACCATATGTATGATGATACATATAGCTCATCATTTAAGGAGCTATTTGTATGTATATGCTTAATCATAACAACATATACTGTAGTAGTTTTAGTGAACTTTCATCCATGCAAAATACCAACTTGTTTTCTGCTATTGTGCTTCTTCCTGGTCCACCATTTCTGATGTGGGGATTTTTAGAAATTTTGGTTTTATTCTCGAAAAATATATACCTTTTCTTCTAGCTCTTCTGCTATTTTCTTCCTATTCCTCTTAATATAAGTTTTCTAAAAGATATCTACATTTTAAATTTCATTATCTAACATTCTCTTTTTCAATATGATCTCCAGTCTACTACTTTCCAATTTGTGATTTAACAGAAATCAACTCCACCAAATATAATGCAGAAATTATTTCATCTTTTTGAGCCATCTGTATGTTTCTTGACTTTATAATTTCAATTTGAAAATTTTTAATTTTTGTAATTAATTCTATAATTTAAACAATTTAATTTCAATTTAAAAATTGTAGTAAAATTTTTACTTATTTATAACCCTGCCTTATTCAAGAATGATTGTTTAGATATTGAGTTAATCAGGTATTGTGTTTGTTATTAACTTGCTCAGCATTTCCAACTTTTCACCATTCAAGCCTGTGCTATTACATCACTTTCAGGTCCTGCTGTGCTTGCAGGAAGGGGGACATGAAACCAGTTCCACTCAATGAATTATTAGCGAAAGTAACGTGTGTCAATTCGGAGCCTTACCAGAGCAGAATCTTCTAGAGTTATACTCTCTGGTGCAGTAGCTGATAACATTTAAGATGATGGCTCACTGTCAGAACCTCGATCCTTGAATCAGTTCATTGATCAGAGCCCCCCCACCGCTGGTCTCTAATTGTATCCTGAACAAAAATTAACTTTCTTTATTTTAAGCCATTGAGGGATTTTATTTTTCTTTTAAACTACAGCATAACCCAATTTAAAGACACTGATGCAGGGAGTGCTTGGTTTTGAAATTTTCTGGGTGATGTTAAAAAAATATTTGAGATTGCAGCCAGCACTGCCAGTGTTCTACTCAGACCCCTGCAGATCCCATTTACAATCTCTGTACACTATTTTCTCACTTTCCGTGTGTTTTTGCGTCTAACAGCATGCACTTGCAATTCTCTTCAGAGGACTGCCCTCGAGTTACTGGAGCTACTTAGGAGCACATAAGCCAATGATTGACTGACTCATGAAATCCCCGCTTTCTTACATCCGGAGAGGACAATCTTATGATAAACTTACATCCCAGAATTTCCTTGCAAGATCAGTCTGAAGTTACCCTCTGTGGGAGCTTGCCTGAAATCTTCCATTACTTAACTGCTTCTTGTTTCTATACCCTGCATCCCTGACTCCCTTCTAGGTTTCTCCTGGGAAGTCTTTCTTAATAAATCACTTGCATGTGTGGCTTATATTAGAGTCTGTTTCTGGGAAGTCCTATCGAAGACTAGGAAAGGAATATACAATATGTAGTTTCATAATAATGTTGAAGGGAATATGTTTGGCTGAATTTTAAAATACCATGGTATGTAAAAATGACATAAAACTTTAGAAGGTTGATTTTGAACTTTTAATCATTTAAGCCAGGAATTTTGTCATGTTTAACTTGCTGTTCTTCACCAGATCAGAATATATTGCTGCTTAATTTTTCTTAGTAAGACATGCTTTTTATATAACCATTACACCATTTCTCCACTTTAGGTGGTGGATTTTAATTATTCTATCTGTTCATTGTCCTCAAGCATCTTCAGACCCTGGAAAACATAACGAGATATACACGAGATTGGGTCAGAGCCTGTGATCACATAACAGACCATAGCTCACTGGCCACACAAAAGTGAAATCTACCAATTAACTCTCATTACTGTAGTGCTCTAATGAATTGTTGTAATTGACCATTGATGATGATGGCATAGAAAAATAGAGGGGGAAAACACTTCCTTCTTCTCATTATGTTTTGTGGTGTCAGTTCTTAAATGTCCTTAATTTTATTTATCCTTTTGGCCACGATATTCAGGCTGTGGCATACAATTCTGATTTTGATTTTCTCTTTGTTTTACTTCTGAAATTATATTAAGACCCAATTATATATATTTTAGAAGATAAAATGTTTTTGCAATTTATAAATGCAGAATTTCTTTTAAAACAGGATACTTGATCTTCTTCTAGGTTAATAGGGTCCATGTAGACAGAATAGATTACCACAAGTATCCTTTGTTTGAATGTGTATCAACCTCTGAAGAAATAATGAGTATTCTCTTGGAACATGTCTCTTGTCATGAGGTGGAGGTCTTTGAACTATACTTAGTTGGTTAAGCAAAAAAGAAATTGTCAAGATTTCATGTATATTCTAGTGAAATAGAATGCCTAAAAATTTAGTTACCCCTTATCTCTTTATCAGCTGTTCTCTCCATTTTCCCTCCTTAGATTACTTCTTGAGATAACTTATATTTATATTTTATGAGCAAAAATAAAAGTTACAAGCAAATCTTTAGATGCCGTAAATTTTATAGAGATACAAGAGAAACACACCTACCATTTATACCTCTGAGATAGAATCCAAGCTAGACAATTGTATTAGCCCATTTTCACACTGCTACGAAGAATTACCTGAGACTGGGTAATTTATAAAGAAAAGAAGTTTAATTTTTTCATAGTTCCACATGGCCGAGGAGGCCTCAGGAAACTTACAATCATGGTGGAAGGTGAAGGAGAAGCACGAGCCTTCTTCACAAAGTGGAAGGAGAAAGAGAGAGAGCACGAGGGGGGAATTGCCACACTTTTAAACCATCAGATCTCGTGAGAACTCACTATCATGAGAATAGCATGTGGGAAATCCTCCCACATGATCCAGTCACCTCATATCAGGGCCCTCTTTCAACGCGTGGGGATTAGAATTTCACTTGAGATTTGGGTAAAGACACAGAGCCAAACCATATCAACAATAAATGATGTATGTGAGTACAGTAAACACTTGGAAAATAACATGACCTTATTTAATTTAAACATATGCATATATCTTTTGACCCACCCTCTTCACTTTTAGGAATTTTTATAAAATAAAACATAAAACATAAAACATATACAATAGGATTTATTTTACCATCGGTTATAATGGCAAAAACCTGGACATAATCTAGGTATCTGCAAATAGATGAATGGTACATCGTTGCGGAAGTTAAGGTACAATTTTAATTGGGAATATGTTGTAGCTATTAGTATGAATGAGTCATATTAATATATCCTGATCTGAAAATATGCACTTGATATAGAAAAGAGCAGTTGTAGAAAAATGGGTATTACATGAACCAATTTTTGTTAAGAGAAAAATCCCTCCATATTATTATGAGCATGGAGGCATATCTCAAGTAATGCACACTAAAATTTTAACATTGGATAACTCAGAGGTAGCAGAGCTGGGGAAGTGTTGTCTAATAACATTTTAATGTGTTTGTATTATTTAGCATGATACGGCATGGGCACATTTCCTTTGTAACTTTAAAAATGATAAAGTATATAAAGTGTTTTAAAGAAAAGTGAGGAATAAAGATAAATAAATATATCTGCCTCTTTTATTTAGGAAGTTCCTTTATGATAAAATTATTCTTTCTAGGCTAAGTATATCTATTTTTCTCAAAGGTTTCTATTTTTGGCTTTTGACAACAGATTTCATTTGGAGTATATATGTAGAAAGACCCATTTCAGACCTTATTTAAATGCAGCACCCACAGATGTAATATATGATGTAGGAATATGGAACTAGCTATGCAAAGATGGCCAGATAAATTTCTGTTTTCCATGTTATTAGGCAGAGGTTGCTCCTCAACTCTGTGAATCCACATTCAAAGAAATAAAAGAGCACAGATTATCCAAGTGGTTAACTCATAGACAACCCTAATGTTCACCAGTACTTCTGGATCTCTGCTTCATGGGGTCATGCGAAAAAGATTATGACTTTTCATTCCCTTAAAATAGGCAAGGACATCAGAATTACTCTGAATAATGACATGTGAACTCAGATGCTTGGTATTATTTCCAAGTAACAAACTTTCTGTTGTTTATTACCACAGCATAAACTGTTATGCCTGACCGATAACAGTTACTGAACACACTTCAGCTGTCTTTATAACACTTTGATCCTATACACTAGGAGTTGGCAAAGTTTTTGTAAGTAGGAGACCCCATTTTGGAATTACGTATGAAATAAAAAATTTTTTAATTCCATAAAATTCCATTTTCTATCCAATGAGAGTTTGTATAAGGTTGATCGATATAGGTTCATAGCTTGGCTCAGCCAATTACCTGGTAATCTTGTACAAAAACTCCATTTTTCTTGGCCTCAGTTTCCATCAGTAAAATGAAAGTATGCATGCCCATGTCACACGGTTATGTGAATTAAATAACATAACTTGTGTGACCTAGTGCTTTATACATAGTGTGTGTTCAAAAACTGTTAGTCATCTGTATAGGAAATCCTTGTGAAATATTTTAAGTGAACTTGAGAGTAGAGAGAAAGATGGCTTTAGGATAAAAAGAGGGAGGCCATTATTGATATCAGGAATGCCCATTACACCCAATTTGGGTAGCTTTGCCCATTGAGGCTTGGAAAATATTGTAGATGAGTATGCCTCCTTTGGAATCTTAGACGTTTAATTGAGTTTATGATATTTATTCCATCATGGGAGAAAAGCTAAGAATTTCCATCATATAGCCAAAGTAAATCAATTTGCTGAGTTCTACTTAATTCTCTATTTTATTTTAAATTTATTGAAACATAATCCGCTCTCTATTTGAGCCCGTTGTCCATCATCTTCTACCATGCAGGCATTAATCTGAAAGGTAGGCAGAGTATCGTTCTCCTATCTGCTATCTCTCTGCTTCTATACCAGGATAGCATCTACCAAGAGGGATCTGAGCAGATTGCAGAGGAATTGGCACATGCATTCCAGCATGGAAGACCCACACACTGAAATTCTGTAGGTAGAAACAGACCAGAAAAATGCTAGTAGTTCAACTCCCACTTATGAGTGAGAACATGTGGTGTTTGTTTTTCTGTTCCTGTGTTAGTTTGCTGAGAATGATGGCTTCCAGCTTCATCCATGTCAAAGGACATGAACACATTCTTTTTTATGGCTGCATAGTATTCCATGGTATATACGTGCCACATTTTCTTTATCCAGTCTATCATTGATGGACATTTGGATTGGTTCTAAGTCGAACAATGAGAACACATGGACACATGGAGGGGAACATCACACACAGGAGCCTGTCGGGGGTTAGGGAGTAAGGGGAAAGGAGAGCATTAGGACAAATACCTAATGCATGAGAAGCTTAAAACCTAGATGATGGGTTGATAGTCACAGCAAACCACTATGGCACATGTATACCTATGTAACAAACCTGCACATTCTGCACATGCATCCCAGAACTTAAAGAAAAATTTAAAAAAAAATGAAAAAAATATGTTAGCAGTTATACTTGGAAATGGAGTCATTCATGTATATCACTCATTCACATTTCAGACCATGGAGCAATGAGGATAGGAGAGCTATCACCTTAATAAACTGAGCTGCTTATTTAAATAAATTCATGCAAGCCACTGAGAGTTGGGGTTGATGTGCTCAGTAATTTAACTTCCAGCTATGGATCTTGGAAAGGCATCACACTATTACACATTTGGTCAGATTGAGACAAGTCAGACTTAAAGGTTATGATATGGTAACTGAATGATTACTCCAAGGCAAAGTGTTTCTATTCCTTCTCACCAGGAATTAGTTTAGGAACGGCCAAATTCTGGCCATTGATATATGAAAGATAGTCTGGGGGCACTTCTGAAAAACATTCCATCGCTCCATCAGTCTTAAAGAGAGACTTAAGAAAGAGATAGTGTCTGTCTTCCTGTAAATGTTGTCATGTTTGGATATGATGCCTCAATCTACTTAAGTCACTTTATGACTGTGAGTGTATCATTTTGAGGACAAATCTAACACACTGAAATATTTGATGAGATGGCTAAATTTTTTTTTTTTCTTTTGAGACAGAATCTTGCTCTGTTGCCCAGGCTGGAGTGCAATGGCTCGATCTTGGCTCACTGCAACTTCTGCCTCCCGGGTTCAAGTGATTCTCCTGCCTCAACCCCTTGAATAGCTGAGATTACAGGCACACACCACCATGCCCGGCTAATTTTTGTATTTTTAGCAGAGATGGGGTTTCACCATGTTGGTCATGCTGGTCTTAAACTCCTGACCTCGTGATCCGCCCGCCTCGGCCTCCCAAAGTGCTGGGATTACATGAGATGGCTAAACTTCTGATTATACTGATCCTGGAATGGTACTGCTGCTAGAGACTTCTTGTTATATAAAACGATTTTTTTTATTGTTTAAAACATTTGAGTTAAATTTTTTCTTACTTGTGACTTTAGGTTTTTTTAATTTTATTTTGAGATGAAATCTTGCTCTGTCTCCCAGGCTGGAGTGCAGTGGCACAATCTCGGCTCACTGCAACCTCCACCTCCCTGGTTGAAGCGATTCTTCTGCCTCAGGCTCCCAAGTAGCTGAGATTACAAGTGCCCGCCACCATGCCTGGCTAATTTTTGTATTTTCAGTAGAGATGGGGTTTTGCCATGTTGGCCAGGCTGGTCTTGAACTTCTGACCTCAGGTAATCAGCCCGCCTTGGCCTCCCAAAGTGCTGGGATTACAGGCCACTGTGCCCAGCCCACCTTAGGTATTTAAAAGTAATACATAGCTAGATTAAAAAGCTGAATTTAAGATTCATAATTATTGAATAATGAAACAAAATTAATTGAATTTTTAACATGCACTTTTCAAAAGACAGCCAATGATTAATAACACAGATGTAACCTATGCTTTCAGATTTTGCAATTGAGTAATTAAACAATTTATCTGCACTATGACACAGCATCAGTATGCAAGTACATGTCTGACATCATATGAGAAGGATGCCTGACCCAATCTTGTGAGATCAAATAATGCTTTTCAAAAGATAAAACTTCCAGTCTGCCATCAAAATGATGAAGAGATGTTGGCTAAGCATATAGAGGGATAATAGTAAAGACTTTTTTTGGTGTGGCAAATGACAAGAAGTTATTGGCTACTTTGAATGGAAAATCCAGTGGTAGTCTTAGGCCCAGCTACATTGATAGGGTTAAATCATATCATCATGAACAACACGAACAGTTTGGACAACCAGAAAGATGGAATTCCCACTGGAAATGGGAAGGTGAACACAAGTTTTGGTGGAAGTATTAGGAAACTCAATTTTGAATATATTAGTTTTGAGATGCCATTCATATTTTCAGATGGAGAACCTAATGAGATAGTTAGAGATACAAATCTAGAGTTTAGGGAAATTTTCTTGGCTGTAGGTACAAATTTGTGAATTGTTACTGCATTAGTATTGAAGATAGTACTGAAGGCAATGAGGCTGGACAAGATCCCTATAGGAGTAAGGATAGATAGAAAAGGGAAAAAGGTCCAAAGAATGCATTTCTG
This sequence comes from Homo sapiens, assembly GCF_000001405.40. NCBI lineage: Eukaryota > Metazoa > Chordata > Mammalia > Primates > Hominidae > Homo > Homo sapiens. Next base: position 91,863,644 of record NC_000005.10, read on the forward strand.
AGATTCCAACATGGAAGGGTTGGGGAGATAAGAGAAAATATGTAAAGAATATGAAAATGAGCAGCCATAGATGTAGGATAAAAATCAGGAGAACGTTGTCTTGGAAGCAGATATATGTAAATATAAAAGGTGGAGAGAGGTGGCCGGGCATGGTGGCTCATGCTTGTAATCACAGCACTTTGGGAAGCCAAGGCAAGAGGATCACGTAAGCCTAAGAGTTTGAGAATAGCCTGGGCAACATGGTGAGATTGCATCTCTACATAAAATTTAAAAATTAGCTGGATGTGATGGTGTGCGCCTGTGATTCCAGCTACTGGGGAGGCTGTGGCAGGAGGATCACTTGGACCCAGGAGGCTGAGGCTGCAGTGAGCCATGTTCATACCACTGCACTCCAGCTTGGGCAACAGAGTGTGACCCTGTATCAGAAAAATAAATTGCAGAGAGAAGATAAAGATTTCCACAGGGCCCTTCCACTGGCCTGCACCTGTGTCTAGATATTTAGCCTTCTCTCCTGTGTCTGTGGGTGGAATTTACATTTACATATTCTTAGAAAAAGCCATCTCTCCCTTCCTAGAATTTTCCCATCTTCTTTGACCTGGAAAAGAAAAGTTTGACTTAAATAAAGAGGTTATGTTTTATTTGCTAGGTAAAAGTGAGGAGAAAAATGAGCAATACTGTAGGAAAATAAGCAAGCAGTAACGTACTGCTTTTATTTCCTTTTTCCCTAATCCTTCAATCTCAAATTTTGAGGTTGGCTGGGGAACCAAAATCTCTAAAAGGTAATAAGTTGTCCTCCAGATTGTGATCCTCTCCGCTCAGCTTCCATAACTACAGGAGTCTTTGCCATCAAATCATTCTAATCTGCTTACAGATATTAATATTTTTTGTAAAGTTTGATAATTAGAACTTTGGAAAGAAAGCTAAATTTTCATCTCCTTGCTTTCATCATAATGTGGTCATGTAACCTCACATAATATATCGATGTATATGAGCTATAGCCAGTGAACAAAAGTCTAGTAATTAGGAGAGCTGAATCCCATACTTGGATGGGTCATTAACAAGATTTCAAATACGGAAGCAAGTAAGCTTTGAATTCTAGAACTCACACTCCCAATCAGTACTCAAACTGGCTCTTGGACTCTTCTGATGAAAAAATGAACATATGTGCAAAGTGATTTGACAACGTTAAAAGCATTGTGCATGTAATAAGTACAGTCATCTATTTGCTTTCTTATTTCAAAGATAAACCAGGAACATCTGGACACCCTTACACCCTGGGTACCCTGTTAAAGACTCCCTTCTAAAGGGGTGTGTGTGTGTGTGTGTGTGTGTGTGCCTTTGTAACTGTGTATATGTATAAAACCCTAGTTGTTTTGGATTGATCTGTTAAACCTATTTAGAAAATGTGTTTCTTTCTTAAGCACCCATTGGCCTTATTGTCACTAGATGGCAGAAACAGATCCTACTTCTGTGGGAAAATGAGAGTTCATTTTGCATTCGGGAAGGGCACAAAAAAGCTTCCCACAGACAATGTTTACAGGCTTTCTTTATTTTGACATTTCTTCTGAATACATTAATGTTTTTGGAAATTCCCTGTTAGGTCCCCTGCAGGGGTATACTGCAAAGTGATCTTGGCTTACACAGGAAGAAGAATGGCTTGCATTCTGCATTTCAGTTTATAATTTTAGAATGAATACTACTTTATTTAAGGGCAGGGGAGAGTGGGAAGGAGGTGGAGTTAAATGCTAAGAAAAATCAAGAAGCTGTGTCACATTACTAAAGCACTGCTGCTGTAATATTTCATCTGAGCCAGAGATGACTTTACTATAATTCATTCTCTTTAGGGTAAGAGTAGTTGACAGTCAAAGTGTCCCATATAAATATACTGTAAAATTCTCTATGTAAATTTTTGTGCTGCAATTTTTTTCTCTTTCTTCTTTTTTCCAAATCAGTTATTGCTTCAGAGCACTATTAGTTTCTCATACAATTAAATGACTGAGATAGTACTTATTTAAAAAGCCAACCCGATGCTCCAGAGGCTTTTTGAACAATGTTTTTTCACTGCCCAAACAATCATTGATCTTCAGCTTCTTTGTACACATGCTGATAATGGTCTTCTTTAACAATACCTAAATAGAAATGGCTTAATTCAGAGAAAACCATTACAATGTGTTGAGGCTGCAATTGTGGATAAACAATTATGCTCGATGTGTGTGCTTCCATGTATCTTCAAAAACACTTTAAAAATAATCCCATCTTTTAAAAATTACTTTTGTTCCTCTTAGAAAATATTTTTATGTCCATTGGGATCATTTCTGGTCCATGAAAAGGACAGTTTTAGCATTGTATTTACTTGCTTAAAATGCAATTTAAAAATATATGTTTCATGTATTTGTGGCTGTGGGAATTCCAAAGCCACAGGAAGAAATGCTTGGTGAACTCATTTGCATACCAATACCCAGAATGCTTTTCCAGCTCACTGCTATTTAATCTAAGTCAGCTGGTGTCAGAGCTCTGGGAACAAACTGAATGATTTTGACATGCTTCTCTGTGCATGTTCTGAGTTCTTTTTCTGCACTGGGTACACAATGAACACTCAAAATTTCATCTCTACTATAAATTTTTTAGAAAAGACTTGGATACTTTTAAATATTTATTTTCTTTTCAATTTTTCTTTAACCCTTTCTATGAAATGTTATTCTAATTATTACTGTAATAAAGTTCTAATTGATAAACGAGTCTAGAACTACTGATTACCTGGAATACATGTTAACTTGAATAACTTGTGACTCAGAACACAAATGGAAGAATTGGAAGAACACATTCATCCATTTTGAAAAAGGTCAAGTTGGAGAGAATAGGATACATTTGGGAAAATCTGCAGATTTGGTGGCTGAGAGCTGATGGTGTCTTATCAATGTCAAAGATTTAGCTGATCTATACTTTTAATGTATTAAGGTGTGGTGATGGCACTGCAGATATGTTTCTTAAGGGTACTTAATGTTTTTGAGATGCATTTGGAAATGTTTACAGATTAAATGAGATGCTATCCAGGATTTGCTTTAAATAACATGGGAGAGGAAGAAGTAAATGGGAGTGTAGATGAAATAAAATTGCCATTTGTTTATACTTGTTGAATCTGGATAATGGATATGTGGAGCTTCATTATATTCTGTCTACTCTAGTAATTTTTGAAAATGTTCTGTAATAAAGATTTTTGAAAGGAGAAATAAAAAATATATCACAAGGTACCTGAGCATTTGAGTTTAGTCTATACTTTCCTTCCAAAAATGGTTTGATTATCTCCTTAGGCATTTTAACACACATATATCTATGTGAAAGAAAATTTGTCAATTAATAGATAAGAAAAAAGAATACGTGCAAATTTCTCTTGATTTCTGCCCTCCTTCCGTCTGCTTCTGTTTGTTACTCTGTCTTTCCTGGATCTGTAATCATGTTCTCTCTTCTAGCTACTGTTCAGTGGTATTAAAACGGTCTCTTTCATCTTACACAAATTGTTTTGACTTTATGTTCTCTTCTTAATACTCTCTCTCCTTCTTTCAGAAGGTTCTTTAAAGATTATCTATACTTTCTCTGTTCTCATCTTACCCTACCAGCCATTCTTAAAAAAATAATAGTGAAAAATATACCATAGACTCAAAGAAGAAAATGATGAAATGAACGCCCATGTACCAATTATCTGCAAGGAAACAGAATATTTTCAGTAATTTAGAATTTCTAATATATCTTTCCTTAATCATATCCACCTTGTGCTACATTGTATATATTGCAATAAGGTAGCAACCTTACTGAGGTTTTTGTTTGCTTTTTTTTTGTCCATGATATTCTTCATTGGTTTATCACTTTGTATATATTAATATTATTAAACATTATTTTTCAGTTTTACCTGCTTGATAGAATTTTAAACATTGAATCATACTATAGTTTTTATCTTGGCTTAGAACATTTAGGCCTGATAGACACTGAGTTATAGAAATAACATTTTTAAATTTGTAATCATTCTGGAGATATAGTTTTCATATTTCTATGTAATCTGTAATGAATGGTCTATTGTCTGTATAACATCAACAGTTATGTCTCTATGTGTTTATTTTTAAAAATCATTTCCTCAAAGCCCTCAATGTTTCCCTAACCTACTCAGAATAAAATCCAAAGTCTTTGTTTTATGGCCCAAAAGGTCCTTGGCCTCCTTCTGGCATAGTTTTGTTCTCCCTGTCTTCTCCTTGCCTTCTTTCTCATTGATTTGGCCACAATGGCCACTTTAGTCTTCTCTGAAGATGCCAACTGCTGTTCTGCCCCAGTGCTTTTGCACTTACTCCTGTCCCCTGACTATGACATTTTCCCCTGACATATTTGTGTAAATTACTTCCTCTTTTCTTCATGTTTCTTGTCAAATGCCACCTTAACTGAATGGCTTTACTTGGCTCCTTATCTAAAATAGCAAACTGTATGGTCACACTATGTCCTCTTTATTCTGCTTTAACCTTCTTTTAATTTACTTATTTATTTTGTGTCTCTTCTCCATTTCTCTCCCCAATATAATAAGGTTAACGAAAGCGCAGACTTTTGTATTTGGTTAATTCTCATAACCTCAGTATTTATAACAATGTTTATCATTGAAAAGTCACTCATTAAAAGCAAATAAGAGTGTCAAAAAAAGACACCATAAGATTTAGAAAATATGTGACATGGTGACTAAGCACAGGAATTTTGAATCAGTCTGCCTGTGTGTGACTTTGTCACTCACTAGTTGGACAAATTACTTCATCTTTTAGTATCTCATTTACTTTATTTTTAATCTGAAAATCATGATTGAACTTACCTCATAGTGTTGCCGTAAGGAGTAAGCAAGATGTTACACAGAAAACCATTGTTCTAAGTGCTAGTTCTGATGTCTAGTACATAGTAATCACTCTGTAAGTATTTATCCCTTATTATTATTAGCAGCATAAATCAGTGCAATTTATGGATTTCACCATTCATGTAGGAAATATTTATTGAGTCCCCTGCATGCTGGACATTTTGCTGAAGACTGGTGTTACAATGATGAATATCCTATTCATAGATCTGCCTTAAAAACTACTTTATAAGACACAATATAAAGATATATTTATTATTTAAATATTTTGAATTAATCCAAAATTTATTAATGGGTGTCCAACACTCAAATACAATTCTAAATAATAGCATTTTTTTTCTTTTTACTTTATACATCTGTAAATAGCAATTCAAATTTCCACCAGGGCTTACCAAGTTGATATTTATTAAAATGCTCTAACTCTGGCAAAACTGTCCCTTCAGTTCATATGCTATTGATCCTCAGCTCAATGAAGAGAAACATAAAAATCTTCTAATAATTGTACTCCCACTCCAAAATCTGTGGCTTACAAGCATAGGAAACAGTCGATGATGGATTCAAGATACTGCCCCTTTATCATTTACCTTACTTTAAATGTTATCTATCTTTGCTTTTTTATTTTGTGGGTTGAGGCAGCAATGAGCGGGGCTTGTGGCTTAAAGTAACTTGTATAGATGTGTTCAAAAGTTATTCATGCCCCCCTGCCAGCTGTACCCCTCAACCCAAGTATGTGTTCAGGTAAGCACCAATTGACATCTCTTGGAGTCAAAGCATTCCTCAGAACTTTCTTTCTTTTTTTCTTTTTCTATGGAAAAATCTTTAAAACTTTTGTTATGTGTTCCCTGATCCCTTACTTGTCACCTCATGAGTTCCATTTGCTTGTTTGTTAGTTGCTCAGTGTTATTTTTTGTGCTCAGCAGCACATCTTTTAATGCTAATTTACTCTATCTTGAAAAATATATATGAGTAATTTTTAAAAGGTAAGCTAAAGGACCATCTTTAGAGCAGTTCTGATATGTTTTCCAGGAAATTGGCAATGCATCTGGTCTCATGAGTGGATGTTATAATTCAGCCAGAATTAAATAGTTTCCTCTTCTCACCCCAGTCCCCCAAGCAAAAACATTTCCACTAGTTTCTAGTCAGAGTCTAAAATACACAGTTGAGTATAATTCCTCTGGGTCCTAAAGGTTTTTTGGTCTTAGAGTCCCATGTTTAAATAGAAATTCTAATGAAAAAATGTCCCCTCAACCTTTGATTACTCTTATCACTCTGGTCCCTGCACCATTTAGTCTACCTTCAGAAATATAGTCTGGGTGCCTAGAGACATGGCGGATTTTATAAGGAGGGGCATCTTGAGAGAGGCGAGGGACACTGCAATGGCGACTTATGACACTGCTAAAGATAAAAGTCACATATTTTATACTTTTTCCCTAGAACCTTCCATGAGAAAATGAATTTAGATCTGTAACTAGTCTAATAGAATGTGGTTACAATTCTAAAATCTCAGAATAAAAAGACTATTTTTGAATTAATTGGGTTTTCATTGCCACTCACACTTTTCTTAATAGGAAGACAGAATATTTGAGGAAAATAATTTAGTTTCATTAAGTTCTTCCTTTGACATCAAAAGCCCTTAATTTCAAAAAGCTATTTCCAATTAAGTTTGCAAACCAGTTACCAACTGTCTACCAAACATATTATTAGTAATATGGATATTTGGGGTGTTGCCAATATCAGCTTATAAATGGGCTGTTCTACAGAGTGTCATACATTTTCAACAGCTTCAGCCAAATATACACCACTATTTCCACTGTTAATTTATTTTTCCATGAATAGGCTTCAGCTTGCCCCAATGATTTTGTGAGTGAAACCTAATATTGTTTTTAAATAAAAAAGCTCAACATTGCCATTAGCAACCTAGCTAAAATGTTCACGACCAAAAGACTTATGAAACTCTTAGGGATCAATTGGGGAATCTAGTACTCTGTTTAAACCAAGAAGAGAAATTAAGCTCAATGCTGAGAAAAGAGAATGCTATCTACCAGTGCACATCTTTTAAGTGGTTGTTCCAAACCAGGCTCCAGACCAGATGAAAATAACAAACTTCTTATATTCAATCAAGAAGCTCCTAACTTCTTGCTGAACAAAGGCAAGTAAGCAATCCTTTAATAGGCTATGTTTCAAATACTTGAAGAGAGATCAAAGAAGTCTCCCCAGAAAGAGCTTCCAGTTTTAGCTGTATTCTCAGAGAAAACTGTTAGCTGAATGTTGAATTTGGTAGAAAGAGAAAGACATTCTAAGAAAAGGAAAGCATGAAACCATGAGGGGTGCACTAAACAGTCTAGTAAGGCAAGACCAGAAAGATGTAGAAGAGTGCTGGGAAACACAGCTGGAGGGAGCTTTGAAAAGCATGGTTGGAGTATGGACTTACCGTGTAGATTCTAGAAACCATGACAGTTTTAGAAGGTTCGTTCGAAGTGCATTTTGAAAGATATATTGGAATCAGAATGATATTACTTTAATCGTGTCAAGAAATCAAGAGGAAACTAATTAAAGTGGTGCTAGTTTGGATGGAGAAGCCTGAAATAATTTGCAAATTGCTTTAGGTAACTGACTGGCAGGAAAGTGAAAGAAAGGGAGAAGTAGGTTTCTGACTTGGGCAACTAGTCTGAGGGTAGTACCATTTTGATATAATGTATGAAGGGAGAAAACACGTAAGAATAAAAGAGGATCTGTAGCTTGAGCACATTTAGCTGGAAGTTAGCAGCATATCTGGGTAAAAGTGCATAGTGGAAAGTTAATAACAGAGATTTGTAGTTGTATAAATAGATGTGTCAGGAGATACACAGTATCTGAAGTTGTCAGGGTTAGGAAAGAGATTACACAGAGAGTGAATAATGGGTAACTAGAAATTGACTAAGAAGGGAACATTGAAGAACACTGAAGCTTAAAAACTTTGTATATAAGGAAGATCTCAAGTGCAAATACATGTAAAAGAACCAAGAGAATGTTGCATTACCAAAATTAGGAGAGAAAAAACTTTCAAAGATGTGGGAATAGTAAATAGTGCCAAGGGTATCCTTAGGATCAAGAAAAATGAGGACTTAAAAGTGTCACTTGGTCTTGGTGATTAGAAGGTGATTACTGACCTTAATGAAAGCGATTTTGGTGAACAGAAGTCAAATGTTAGTGGTGAAGAAGTCAATTGAAACTGTGGAAATTGAGACAGTGAATGTATATTATTCCTTAGGAAGTAAGACTCTAACAAGTAGCAGAATTTTTTAAAGTAGACATTGGGCAAACAGGAAATGTTTTTGTGTATCTAGTTTCCTTCTTTCTCTTACTTTTTCAAATGGAAGATAATTGAAAGAATCAATTTCAAAGGAAAGACGTTAAAGAAATCAATTTCATGTAATCTTCCCTTTAATATATAAAACAAGATATTCAATGCCAATAAAAGTAGAAAGGTATCTTTCAGAATAAGGTAATTCTTGATAGTGAACACTTTATGAAAAATGTCCTATTTTATTTTTTATGATATCAATCAGTAAAAACTTGATCATGGAGCAAAACAATTGATCTAGTGTGGAGGCAAAGTTGTATTCCTGAACGTCAATAGGGCCATCTTTTTTTTCTTGCATCAGTATGGGATGAAGTATGATATGTGAGGATAAATCATTTTTTTAAATGGTAAGAGGCAGAAAGTTGAGGAAATGAATTTTAGATGATCTTTGTTTTCCCTACAAAATAAGAGACAAGTATATACTGAGAGCGAGTAAACATTTAATACTGGGTTTCAAGGTAATAACAAAATTTTGGAACAGATACTCTAGAAATGAAAAGGGTATTTAAAAATGATATTACAATTACCAATCAACCTGGAGGGCACTGTTAAAATCAGAAGCCATATATTTGTAAAAGCACCAAGCATCATTATTTTGTGATTTTTCTCCAGCACTGCTCAGCATGTAGAAATGAAGACAGTAGATGCCTAATCTTATCAGGGATAAGTGTTTGTAGGATATGGGCACAGGAAGTATAAGCATAAGAGAGAGGTTTAAGTCATTGACCAAGGGTTTTAGGCTGGATAGGGAGGGAAGGAAGGCCAGGAGGTAAGGCCATGTAGAGACCCACAAGAAAATAAAGGGCAATGCTTTGTATTTCTGAAAGTGGTACAATCAGAGAAAAGAAAATGAGCCAAGCATTTATTTCACGTATACTAGAAATACATACATCAGAGCTATTATAAGGGCTGATTAGTTGAGAAAAGTACTAGTGAAAATAAAAATATTGAGAAAATAGGAAATATGTTTTATAAAACAAATCAGGATGAGTTTCAATTGACTTAATTGCAGAGCGGTATCTTTCAGGGCAAAAGCATAATAATACAAGTACAAAGTAGAGAAATAGACAAAGATGAGTGGAAAATAATCGATTTGGGTACTGTCTGAACAAAGGCTTATATGTTTACGGCAATTGTGGGAAGAAAGAAACTCGGATTATTTTCTTTTAGGCAATTTCAGATATTTGAGGATTTAGGGACATTTTTGAAAAGGTAATTGAGTATGTGAGACAAGAAATGAAAGTAAAATGTCCTAATTTCCAGCTGAAAACCCTATGAAATTTTCTCCCATTTCTACTCATAGTACAAACAATGGACTGTCAGGAGCAATGTGTGAAGTGAAGAATCATTTGTTGTATAGATATATTTACTTCAGATAGAGCACCAAGACTCAAGTTCATGTTCTTGGTATAATTTATATTCAGATTTATTGGGATTTATTTTCCTTAAGTGCATTAAAAAGAAAATAGATTTCTCAAGGACAGCATGATATATATAAAACAAATAAACAAAGGTTAGCTAGCTCGTGTTTTAATGTAGTAGAATTTACAATCATACAATAATACATTGAATAGTATAATAACAAATGACCCATGAATGGATCAAATAGTGAATCTTATATTTGATGTGCATGTAAGCTTACCCCTCACTGAGACACACTTTCAGATGGGCCCCTACCTTTTTGCTGTTCTCTGTGGGCCATAGTGCTCATCAAACAATGCTCCCTGGACAGCTGGCTCTGCCATGAACCATCTGGAGTTCCTACTCCCTAGTGATGCCCATTACGGAAAAGTTTCAAGTCTTCAACTTCACCTTTAGGGAATCTATATATCATTTAACAAGACATCCAGTAGCATATTTGCAGGATGATGTTGGCAAAAAGAAGTGTTTGGGAAATTCCAACAGTTTTATTTTAAGATAAATTATAACTACACCTCAAAGCCATTGAGATCAGAAAAGGTCCATCTTCCCGAAGGAGCAAACAGCAAACACAAATTAAGCAATTACTATGTGCTAGCCACTGTGCTAAGGGCTTTAAATGCGTTGTTTCAGCACCCCATGAAGAATTATTTACAATAAGTCAGGAATGTAAGATTTCATAGATTAAGTAGAGTCTCTGGTAAATAGCAAGCAGCACTTACCACAATCTGTGTACATTTGTTTTTGAACTTGTGTTTTTTGAAGACATACTGGCTTTGGGATATCATTTTGGGTAAAGGGGATAAAAAGATATGTAAGCTGTATATCTTCCAGCCAGGTTGTTTATACTTTACTAGACCAGGTGAATATGTGAACAACTTTCTATAACACAATAAGTTCTAAAGTAGAAATGTATACACAGTTCTTTGGGGGCAAATAGGAGAACAAATGTTTTTTCCTAAGAAAGACGAAGAAGTATTCATAGTAAAAGGGAGTTTTGAACTGGGCTGTAAAATATGATTAGATTCCACTAAAAGAACTTTGCATATATTGGAATGATACAGCTTAAACATTTTGTTCTCTACAATTTGAGAAAATTTACCAGGCATCATTACAAAAATTTTTTTTTACTGCTGTTTTATGCTTCCAAGAGATAGAGAAATAAATAAATAAAAAGGGGGATTTATAGTATAAAACAGAAAGAAAAGGAAAAAAAGAGAAAACAGAAACAGAAAAGAAGAGAGTAGAAGTAGAAATCTGAAAGAAGAGAGGAACCCAGACGTAGGAATATGTAAAATAAAGATAGAAGCAGAACCAGGATTACAAATGAAATTTGAAATAACTGGAAAAACAGAAAGAAGCAGAAGAGGAAGAAGTGTCTAAGAAAACTAGTGGTGAAATAAAGGAGGGAAGATTCATGGAAAGGAAAACAGATCTGAGTAAGAAGGCAAGAGAAATTTTAAAAGCTATCATTGCACTGTTGTTTTAGGCTGTTATAATAAAAATATAATCCCTTTTAATAATTTTTCTAGAAAATGCTTGTTGATAACAGTTAAAATCAAGAAAGCCAAGAAAATATATTCACGTATTTGTCTGCCATACAGATACAAACACATCTTCAAATATAGGAGATAAAGTCGAAAACAATCTGATGTGTAGCTTCCCAGTATCTTATTTCCCTGAGTCATATTTTGAAAACAAAAATCAGTGATGCTGATTTTGGAGTCTATCTTCAGAAAAGACGAGACTAACTTTTCATGGAGAATGAATGGCTTTGTTTTAGTATTTTTAATAAGATGTGTATCTCAAGATATGATTTTTCTTTAAAAATTCTGACATCCTAATTTGTTTATAAGTGGTTGAGTTGATGTGCTTTCAGAAAATATAGAGGACATCTTTAAGGAAGTGGTTATACAAGGCTTTGGTGCTTTGTGAAAATTCCATTTCTGTTTCTATAGAATTGTTTGTGTTTAAATCCCACTACCACCCACTGTTTTTTTGTTGATGTTCCGATGTCTTTAAGAGTATGTGTATGTGTGTGTGTGTGTGTGTGTTTATGTTGTTGGGGTTGCTATTGTTACAGTAGAAAGGCTGGGGTGTGGGACTTTTCTAACTCTATCGCTGTAAACTCTTACAACACATAACAAACAGCCGATCCGAGAAATAGCAAACATTGTCTGTATTCTCTGTGCACTTGGCAGGGATTTTTCATATTGTATATTATTGGCTCTGCTGTGTGATAGCGCAACAGAGCTTTTGTAATGCTCTCGGCAGAGCGATTTATATACTGCGACTCTACTAAGTACTCTTCCCTCTGCTGGTGTTCTTCCACAGGCTCAAAGAGAAAGTGAGTCGCCCAAATAAAAATTATGGATTGACATTGCTTAGAGCACAGGATGCTGTAAAGGCAAAATAAGTCTTTATATAGCTCACATTAAATATCATTATTTTCAGTTGAATGGTAAAATGAAGGTTAGCCCAAAATGAAGAAAAGGATATTTCTCTCTAGCAGACCAAGAATCTGGTTTGCACGCACCTGAGTTTGATGCTCTAAATATGTTGTGTCAAGGACCATGGACTCTGGGGGCATCTGGCTATCAGTGCTTTTCTTCGTCAACTGTTCAGATTAAAACTTATAAAAGATGAATGCCAAGAGGTCCCCTTTCATCTGTGGTCACTTCTTAAAATGGGTTACTGAAAATTTAAGTAACTTGGCTATATACACTGCTCAATAAGGAGAGCAAATATAAAACCCAATAACAAAAAAGTGAGAATGAATATTATTTTTCCCTTAGATTTGTTCCATCCAAACTAGAAACTAACAATCTAAATCTGACAGATAAATTACCTAGGAAGATACAGTTATAATTTTTTTTCTTATATCATATTTAAGTTGACAGGGGATCTTATATATTGGAAACTTTACTTCCTTCTCAAAACTAACCCAAAACATTTATGTTTCCTGAATTTATTTAGACTTCAACAGTACCATTATGCCTGTACTTTTATAAGGAAATCTGGTTGATAGGACATTCTAGCATTAACTGGACATAGGCTGTGTTCTCTGTTATCAGATTTAACCAACAAGAGCTTGTCTGCAACTTGCCATTTTTATTCATATTAAAAGGTTGATATTTGGATTCACTCATATTCAGTCAAGTTCAACAGCATGACTTTAAAAATAGCATAAGATGCATAAAAATAATAAGGGAAAGAGATACTAGCAGAATGTGATGCTCCAGTTAATGTCACACTAACCTGAGGATATAGAAAATGGCAATTTTCTGTGGTTAAGGCAGACCACAATGTGTGTGCAGTCCCAGGAAAAAATGATTATGTAAAAAAGTGATGATCTTTTATTTGCTATTTGTTCACTTCTTGGTTAACTGTGGAAAAGATCAGGAAGACATAAGAAGAGTAACTTTCTGGTCCTTGCTAGAACAATTAGTTAAATCTGAGGAGGAGATAAGGAAAAAAAGAAAAAGAGCTTTCAACTTTTTAAAATAAAGTTTTTTTAATGTACTTACTTAATGAATAATATTATTTTGCTTAAAAAACCCAGGTATTTGTATTCTTCTTCAAATATGTTATAAATCTATTCATTTCTTTAAAATCTCTGCCAACAATGATCCACCCAGTTATCACCTGACAACCTTTTTGTGTAGGGCATAAGGGATAATCTGAGCACATTTACTTAATGTATTATCCAACAAAAACAATTTAATAGCTTATATGAAAACTCATTGAGTTAGCAAAAATTGGAGATCCGATATGATTTGTGTCCCTACCTTCAAACTTTACAGGTATGAAAATTTTGCCATTAAAAGTAATTGCAAAAATCACAATTACTTTTGCACCAACCTTACTTATTGTAATAAAGATATTATTTGAGTAAGAGGAAGCAACTGAACCTGAAATACAGAGGACTTATCTACGTACAAGAAGACTACACTTAAAAGTGAGTTTCTAATTTGATTCATCTATAGGCTGCAAAATTTTTTTCCCAGAAAAATACTATGTAAGGTCTTTAAAACTATGACATAGTCTTTGAAAAGGACATTAAAACTACTAAATAAAGTATATGGTCCTTGGCTATCCTTGAATGAATAGTAGAGTATATCTTATGAAATACGCATTTTATATCATTAAATATTTAAGAAAAATGGATTATCCTGTCAAATATGTATAGGAAATTTTGCATGTTATAACTCTCTCTCAAAATTCAAGAGGCATATTAATATATCAAACTTTTGGAGAAGGTCTACAATCAAGAAAACTGTTTACTCTTCTTTAACACGATATCTTAAAAATGTATCTGACCATGAAATCATTTTATTACACAGCCCCAATTAATATACAGGAAAACCAGCATTTCAGGTAACACAATTTAGGCGTGCCAGCTGACAGTGGAGAAAAGTAACTACATTTTAAAAATAAACTGTCTTGCAAGGTACCAAGTAATATACATTATTATCTTGTCTAATATTTATATCTGCCTAGTAGGTATTTTCTTCATTTTAAAGATGAGGAAACTCAGGTTCAGAGAGCTTTACTTATCTGCTTTGGTGACAGAAACTCAATCAGCAGCTGGGTCAGAATTCAAACCTAGGTCTATGTGATTTCAAAGCCCATGATTCTTTCTCTCCTCTTCTTGCATCTCCTGAAAATGTTTTGCTACATGTTTAAGTCCACCACCCAATGTTTGTACCTTTTCGTAGATCAGAAATAGAGTAAGTGACTATTTCAAAAAAGTAAAAGGTAATCAGTGGTCATTTTTTTGGTCTGTTACTATTGAGATCATACTATTTGTGTTTTTTTGTTTGTTTGTTCATTTGAGACGGAGTCTCGCTCTGTCCCCCAGGCCGGAGTGCAGTGGCGCGATCTTGGCTCACTGCAAGCTCCGCCTCCCAGGTTCCCACCATTCTCCTGCCTCAGCCTCCTGAGTAGCTGGGACCACAGGCGCCCGCCACCACGCCTGGCTAATTTTTTTGTTTGTTTGTTTGTTTGCATTTTTAGTAGAGACGGGTTTCACCATGTTAGCCAGGATGGTCTCCATCTCCTGACCTCGTGATCCGCTCGCCTTGGCCTCCCAAAGTGCTGGGATTACAGGCATCAGCCACCGGGCCCGGCCAAGATCATACTATTTGTGTTTTGAAAGAATTTACTCTTCAAGGAACATCGAAAAAGTGCTTAAATGACAATAATAAGCATTTAGTAATGCTAATAATAAGCAATTAATTAGCCCAGATCAATGGAGCAGAAAGTTTGGAATTTAAGTGCTTGCACCAGGGTGAGATAAGTATGTGTCTCTCTTCCCCTTCTTCTGCTTAGATTACATGGGCCATTATTATCATCACACTCTTGAATCTTTCCCAGAGTGTGTCTCCCAACATCTTTAGTGGCCTAGAAAATCCTTAGCTCGTTTTGTAAATAACACTCTACCTTCTCCATGCCTGCATATGAAGAGCTGCAAGAGACTTAGAGAAAAATCAGACATACAAGATGATGAATCTCAAGTCCTTAGAGCTACTCCACTTTCCACACTTCCCCTTTTCTCAACTACTCTTTCCTATTTTCTCTTCCCTCCTCAAACTTTTTTCAGATGGAATCTTGCTCTGTCGCCCAGTCTGGAGTGCAGTGATGTGATCTCTGCTCACTGCAACCTCTGACTTCCAGGTTCAAGCAATTCTCCTGCTTCAGCCTCTCAAGTAGCTGGGATTACAGGCGCCTGCCACCACGCCTGGCTAATTTTACGTATTTTCAGTAGGGACGGATTTTCGCCATGTTGGTCAGGCTGGTCTTGAACTCCTGGCCTCAGGTGATTCACCTGCCTCCTCCTTCCAAAATGCCGGGATTACAGGTGTGAGCCACTGCGCCCAGCCCCCTCCTCAAACTTCTTATGCCAGCTCCATATAATCACACTCTTCTGGTGACCTTATTACCTATTTCAGGGACAATAGAGCAGGCCAAAGTTCTATATGCTCCCATGCCTATCAATATACTTGCATTTCTTATCTGTGTTCTGCCTTCCCTGATAACATAGAGTAAGTTTATCCTTATTTCTATGCCCAATCCACCCCCCCACCCTTTTTTTCCCTCAGAAATCTTAAAAACATGGTTTTTAAAAAAACTTATTTGGATACATAGTAGGTCTATATATTTATTTATAGAGAACATGAGATATTTTGATGCAGGCATAGAATGAATAATAATCACATCAGAGTAAATGGGGTATCCATCACCTCAAGAATTTACCATTTCTTTGTGTTATGAACATTCCAAATGTACTCCTTCAGTTTTTCTAAAATTTACAACAAATTATCACTGACTGTAGTTACCCTGTTGTGCTATAGAATGCTAGATTTTATTTGTTTTATTTTATTTTTGAGACAGGGTCTTATTCTGTCACCAAGACTGGAGTGCAGTGGTGTGACTCCTGGGCTCAAATGATCCACCCACCTCAACCTCCCAAAGCGCTGGGATTACAGACATGAGCCACCGTGCCCAGCCCAAATACGAGATCTTATTCATTGTATCTAATTATATTTTTGTACCCACTAACCATCCCCATTTCCCACACCCCCCACCCCACCAACCCACTGCCCTTCCTAGCCTCAGGTAACCATCCTTCTACTCTGTCTCCATGAGTTCAATTGTTTTAATTTTTAGCTCACATAAATGAGTGAGAACATGTAAAGTCTGTCTTTCTATGCCTGACTTCTTTCACTTAACATAATATCCTCCAGTTTTATCCGTGTTGTTGCAAATGACAGAATCTCATTCTTTTTTTATGGCTGAATAGTACTCCATTGTGTATATGTATTACATTTTCTTTATCCATTCATCTGTTGATGGACAATTAGTTTGATTCCAAATCTTGGCTATTGTGAATTGTGCTGCAAGACACGTGGGAGTGCAGTTATCTCCTCAAGATACTGATTTCTTTCTTTTGGGTATATACTTAGCAGTGGCATATGTACTTGCTATCAAGAATTTTCCTGCAAAACTCCTTTGCACCAGTTCTAACCAGGCTTTCATTGGTATCCATTCCCTTAAACAATTGGCATAGCAACAGTAACCTCCATGTGGCAAAATGTAATGATTGCATTACAGTTCTCTTCCTATTTGACTTCACAGCAGCATTTTTGACATGAGTGATTACCCTTTCTTTCTTGAAACACTTTCTTCCATTAAATTCTGAGACACTGTCACCTCTGTTGACTTGCTTACTTGTTGCTCCTTTTAGTCTCCTTGGCTAATTCCAGAGAGCCACAAGATCACTGAACTTTTCATTTTTGTCAACTTTCCCTGCCTGAGTGAGTTCATTTAGTCTCCCAGCTTTAAATACCATCTATTTGATGATGACACAAATGAATACATCCTTTCCAGATTTCTTTCTCTGAAGTCTTCACATTGATATCAAATGTGAACTTCAAAGTCAAAACAGAAATCCTGAATCTCCCTATTATACTTCCTCCTTCTGCAATCTTTCTCATCTCCATAAATGGCAACTCTTTCTTTCTGTATACTGTTGCTGGTTTAGAACAGACACTTCATTATGTATCACAGCTCTCCAATGGCCCAAGCCATTGTCTATCTACTAACATCATATTGGTTAATAGACCATCGTTCGATTCTAGAAACTTTGCTGTTTCAGGGTAATGGTTACAGTAAGAAACTAAAATTTAAAGGCATCAGTATTTTACATAACTTTCTTAATTATGAAGCAAATTCCTTGATGCTGATGAATGAGACATCGAGTCAGAAATTAGATTATTTTGCTGGCAGACACATGGTAGACACATAGGTAGATAAGAAAAATCCAAATACAGAAAAGGTTTTTTGTTTTTTTTTTAGTGAGTCAAATCTCTGATCTCCCCATGATGGAAAGAGTTTCGTGTAATAGGAAAATGGACGATTGAGTCTAGTGATTTATGGCAAAATTTGAGAGTTTCAAATTGGTCTATCATGCTAACACCTTGACACTTAGCAGTGGAAGTAGCCAGATCAGTTTGGGTGAAAGAGAGTCCATTTCACTGGGCTTATATATATTCTTTATCTATGCTATAGCAGCATTTTGAAAGTCCATTGTGAACATACTGACCTAGGGGGTTACTGTGAAAAAGAAGCTGAAACCATTCACAGAGAAGTTTCTTGTCTGCCTGATTATTGAGAGCCTCTTCCACAGTAGTGGCAAGCAAACATTGTTCTGTGGGACACAAATACCCTCCCATGTTGAGAATATGCCAAGAGCTCCACCCAGACACATTTTGCCTAAAACAGCTTGTCATTAATCCTCAAATATTTTGAATCCCTGATGACCTGACCAAATTTCAGCTACTGTGTAGCTGTTGGATAAAGGTTTACTTCTCTTATGACTATATCTCCTTCCAGGAAAAGTGGGCAATGAGATGTGCCATACAAAGTATCACCCAACAGAAGATTTTCTTTATCCTTCAGAGACTGTGCTGAGGGTTCACTCTGGCTGGAGCCAGCATATGGTACAAAGTCACCTGTAAACCAAATTCAATTTTTTCTCCTCAAATTATCATAGGGAACTCCTTGGGAGTCTGTAAATGTGGATTGATAGATAAACAGAAGCGCGACAGGGATTGTCATGCTGAAAAGGTAAGTCAGCTTTTCCCGCAACTTACTTTTACATTCGTACACTTCTGCCCTTTACAATATGTAAAACTTTCATTTGACAATCAAGGGATGTCGGTACATCTGAATTCACGGCTTCAAACGACACTGAACAAGTTATGTGTGTCTCACAGTGAAGGGTAAAAAGGCTGAGTTATTTTTAAAATGAACAGTACTGTTGCAGAAGAAGACATGATTTTGCTAGAAAATTCTAGAGAAAACTGAAGTGATGATCTTCTTGTCTGCTGTTTCAACATTCCATCAGGTTTCAGATAACCCTCCTACCACTACACAAAAACTCACAAGCTGTATCCTTGTTATCACTCACCCATAAGCAAGCTTCAGGTGTGAGATAAAGTGCCACATTTATTGTAGTTTTTGTGCATTTCTTCACAATTTGACATTTGTAAAACTAAGCTACTGTTTTTGTCAGTTTTCTATTTTTTAAAGATGTGTCACCGATTAAGTTGTGCTCCTGGACCCATTTTTTCCCATAAGCCTAGTCTAGTGACTTTGTTGTATGCTTTTGCTAATACGGTGACTTTTAGAAATGTATATGTACCACTATAACAGAACTGACTGTACAACACAATGCTGGAAGAGATTCCCACAAACAGGAAGATAAGTCAGATATTTGGAGACCAACAGTACAAGGCATTTTTTCCACAGAAAATGGAGTAGTAAATACTGAGGACTCAAACAAAAAAGAGGATGCATTACCAATGTATTCATTATTTGCTACATAGCAGATACAATGTTAACTATTTTAAAGTTGAAGATTTTACAGGAGAATTCTCAAGGTAATGTCAGAATGGTAGGACAAATATCATATGACACATAAAGGACTGGGAATGACTGCCGAGGAGATACTTTTCATTATAGACTGTGAGAGATACTCCAGTTATCTAGTCCTTAGAAGATATTTGGGTTGAGCCAATGATAATGGTTACTTTGAAAAGGAAAATTAATATACCAAAATGCATGAATATGAGACTCTTGGGCATTCTTCCTTGAGGCAGTTTATATACTTAATTCTGAGAGGAATGACATGTTCGTAAACCAGTATTAATAGGTGATATGTTATCAATACCAAAATTTGTGCTATGAATTCTTTGGAGTTGGAATCATGTTTGCTCCAAAGAGCAGGTGTTGGTTTTGCTGTTAAAAACAAACAAAGCAATTTGGATGTAGAGAAAAAGGAAAGAATATTCTCAGAAGAAGGAAAAAGAGGGGCAAAGGAACAGGGGAGAATGTGCTTGACACATTAGAAAGGAGTTTCAAGAAGGAGGAAATCCAAACAGAGAAATAATTCAAGAAGTAATCCAAAGACAGTTAGAAAGACAAATTAATAGCATGTATAAAAGAGTATTTTCAGTGGGACTGTGGAGTTGGAAGTCAAATTAGCTAAGTGGGATGAAGGCAGTGAGGAAATATAATAGAAGCAGTGGGATTCAGACCACTTATTTTTATGAAGTTTGACAGAAAAGATGCAGGAAAAGCACTACAATAGTTAAGGTTCAGAATGTTCAAGCAAAGTTATTCAAAAGAGCATATATCCATGCTAGAAGATGAACATGAGTCTATAAAAATCTCAAGTCAACATAAACTCTTTGATCTGGAGGATAAACTATACACATGGGTCAAGATATTCCTTATACTAGATTGCCTCTGAAGTGTTTTGCATTACTTTTATTGTTTTTGTTCATTTATAAATGTTTTACTTATTTACTGTAGTATCATTTATAAAGTGTACATTTTCATTCAAAATTTGTATTTCAATTCTAAAGTAAAATTATGAATATTCTCATAGCTTTCTATTTAAATTGATTTGTGAATATTCTTTTCTGCTCAAATCACCTTACTTTGGAAGTTTTTTAATCAGTTTTGTGATATTTGGTTTTATTCCTTGAACCACAAATCTCTGATATAATAATCTAGAACATGGCTTAATAAAAAAATCGATGAAGATGTCATTTAATGGTAATAAAATACAGCCAGTAAAAATATAATTGTCATTAGCAGTCTTAAAAATTTGTAACACATATGATGAGTCTTAAAATAATCTGATCAATTTGTCCAGAAACTTCAGTTAAAATAATTTTTTAAAGAATAATTTTATAATGAATTTCATTATAATTTTATTTATAATGAAAAGCAAAATATAAAAACTCCAAATGGGGAATAATTAAAATGAGTGTGGTATTTCTATACAGTGAAATATTCAGTAGCAATTTGAAAATGTTTTCAAATACTATATGATGATACAGCAAATCCTCAATATATAGACTACAATATAGGGAGAGGTAACAGAAAGTTAAATTTATATTTTAATGTGAGTTTAACATTATGAGTATTATGTGCATATATGGAAGAAATTTATCAGAATTAACTGTTTTCTTTGGTTTTAATTTTTGCTGATCGTGGCTTTATGGATGATTTGAACTTTTCTCTTTGCACCTGCCCACATGTTACAAATTCTTTATTATAAACATAAACTACTTCTATAA
Organism: Homo sapiens; assembly: GCF_000001405.40. Classification (NCBI taxonomy): domain Eukaryota; kingdom Metazoa; phylum Chordata; class Mammalia; order Primates; family Hominidae; genus Homo; species Homo sapiens. The sequence continues at coordinate 91,884,435 of NC_000005.10, forward strand.
TTGGAGAATTTTTTAAAAAAAATTTTAAATGATAAACACACAATAACATCAAAAATACAAAATGAGAAGACAGTAAGTTAACCGAAACTCTAACAAATGTTATACATAGAAAAGACAATAGTGATATTATAGTTTTCATCATAGAGTGACTGTAATTAGAAATAAATGAATGCTTAGCTTCAATGTGTAATCTTGGAAAAAGCCGAAGAGAAAAACAAAGGCGAAATCTCATTGTTTTTTGGAAAGGGCATTAGAATTTTTTTTTTTTTAAAGCAGAAATTAGGTTTGCTACTGAATCACTGTGTTTGCTAGCAGATGTTTTCTTTAGTTTTTATGAGGATCGTTGTTATTCACCTCTAAAAACTTAACTACTGTTTGACTAGTGTGCAAATGCTAAATCAAACACCTGCTTTCAAGACATACACAGTTGATAGTCTGCCGACTCTAATCCATCTGATGCTAGATGTTGCATTTTTGGAGGAGGTAATATAAGAGGAATCTCCACCTCTAAATTATGGAAATACATGGGGTTTCTCCTTCTGTTCTTTAATCACATTTTTTAGAATGTAAACTCTTATTTTTTTTTATTTTTGTAGACTTTATATTCAATACTCATATTCTGCTTACTATCCCATGACCACAGGTACTAACAAGCAACTTTCTGGTAACTTTTTCCTGAGATGCATCTGCTTTTTAGCTGGACATCTTTCCTTGTGTTTGCTAGGCTATGTCCAAGGTAGGTTTTGCCAAGATCCTATGTTTGCATTCAGAGGTAAATTAGACAGATAGATAGATCTGTTGATATAGAGAGATGATTTTAAATTTACACACACACTCACACACACACAAACTTCAATTCATAGGTAAAATAAGTTATTTTTTCATCTTGAATTAAATAAGTTGCATTAATTTCAGAATCTTGAAAGAATGTGGTATATGTTTAGGTATGAAGCAACAAGTGACTTCTCCATTCATCAAAAGTTTGTTGAATGCATGGTTAACCGGTAGAACACAAGAACCTGTGGAGCAGACAAAGATTAATTATACCTGTACTCATGCAACAATGTTTGTGTTCCAAACAAATTATATTTGCTTGTGTTTAAACGATGCATAAATCTGATGCGTGCAGATGAACGTGTGTTCAGGATGAGTGAGCACACTTGTTTGAATGTCATATTTATCCCTGTATTTTGTCAGAAAATTAACTTCTTTGGAGTTTGTGCTTGAGCTGAGCATATGGTTGTTGATCTCTGGAGATGACAGCCTATCTGAGCAATAGCTCCTTATGGCTCCAGCTCTCCTCGGCTGGCAGATGCTTTGGGCTTTTCTACAATTAAGTGGAGATCATCACTGTTTTCTTTGAGCACTGCTGTGCCTTGTACTCTGAAGTGTTTTGTTAATCACTGTCTGCCTTCGACAGAAGCTGCCAAAGCTCTCATTAAGTTTGAATTTTGAGATGTCATGCTCGAATGATGGAATTTCATCCTTTTTCTGCATGAATGGAATTGGCTATGGAAAGGTGCCAGAAAAAAAAAATCATGTCACTAAAGTATACTTGCTTTATATTTCAGAGATAAAACAAAAGGCAGTTGGGGGAGGGGGATTCCCAATAATTTGTCAACCCTGGAGCATGTAGTTTCCTAGGTGATATAATTGTTGGGTGCTCACCCTTATTAACAGGAATGGTTCCTTCATTGCATAGATCAACGATCAGTCATTTCCTTGTTTCCTAAGTGAACTTCAAATGTCTTTTCTTACTGACTCCAAGACCTTTTATGGCATTTGATATTGACTCTTGGTATGTTGAAACAGAAAGTAGATGTAAGTTGCACACAAGTAAAGCAATTGCTTTAATAACCTGTCTGTCTAATTGGGGGCAAGTGAAGATATTTGATAGTAAAAGACAAAAAAAAAAAAAAAACAAAACCCGCCACTTTGCCCTTCAAAATAATTGCATGAAGTTGTATAGAGACTAAAAACTAAATGCATCTGTTGACTATTTAATGATTTGCTGTAGGAAACTAAGTGTTATGGGAAATATGATTTGAAAAGACATTACCCATTTCTCTTGGCGAATCTAATTGTTTCAGTTGAATGAGAAAAAGTAGAAAGTAAGCCTTAAAGAAAAACAATACTTAAGAGTAATTAGCTCTAATGCCTAATCACTTGAGTCATAAAGGATTTAGAAATTTATTAAACTGATCTATAAAGTCCCATACTTGCAAAGACTGACATCTTCCACTTGTTAACAAACTTCAAAGGCAATACTGTTTTTGTGTCCAATGTGTCTGTGGCTCAATTATTTTAATCAACAGCATATGCGATGGATAGTTTATGGAAACATTTTAATGGTCACAAACAAAACAAAATTCAAATCTATTACTTAGAAGTAGGAAGAAAGCTGGCCACTCTGGCTGCGGTAATCCTGCAGCCTCTTTACTTCTGTATGAATACAACATGCATTTTTCATAAGGCCAGAACAGATTTTATAACACACTGTTTAAGTACAGTGCCTACCCTTTTAGACTATTTTATTGAATCTACATATTGAAAGTGCTGGAGTAAAATGTTGATTGAGACTTTTGAGGGAAAACATTAGCTAATGAATTTTATTGGTGATTAGAAAATTAGTATTATTTCTGCACTCTAGGAACACTTGAGGAATATGCTCTAGGAAACTTGTTGCTGTAATAGTAGGTGAGAATCATAGGATCTTAGACAGAAACTAAGAAAAACTTTCAGGTAAGTGTATGTTCCTGTAAATTCCTGATTTCATCTTTTGTCCTATGTTTAGACAGAGAAGCTGACCACTGTTTGACATAAATTCACTCATACCATGAGATCGTACTCCTACTACCCAAAATATCTCCTCTACCTGAGTCTAAAGAACTGCCTTTAGAAAGAAAAATAATATTAAGTTACAAATGTCCCTTGAGACAGATAATGCTTTTGTCTCTCTATACATCAGTAGGAATTAGTACATCCTACTTAGCTCACTGTCTCCTATCAGAGAACAAAACGTGAGGGTAGCTGCCAATTTTAATAAGATCTGAAAGGCCTAGTGTAGAGCATTTCTCACAGAGCTGACTGGTGGAGTGCTCACTTGTTGGGTGTCCTTGATGTTTCAGAAATGAGATGGTGGTGCTCTGGTACACAGGGTTGTAAGAACTAAGGGAAGAAATGTTAACTTGATCTATTTGACAATGTATAATCCAAGTTGACTCCTATGCTATTTCAGGGGAAGATGTAACCAACATTGGAAAAAACATATGACTAAAATATCTGGCCTTTGTTCATAGATTTGAGACATATGGGTTACTGAGAAACCATATAAACTCTCTGAAATTCATTATCCGCTCTGTGTACTTCAAAGTGGCACTGTGACTATAATATAAATTGAGTATGGAGGACCACTGAAAACCTAAAGCACTGTGCAACGGTAAGGCAACGTAACACCAACATTCAACTTCAAAACCTAGTCCTTTCTTCACTGACTCCTTTCTCTAGACTCTAGATTTCAGGAAGTATTCATATCCAAAATGACTCAAACAGATATTCTTTTAAAAAATTTTCTATAATGGTAATGATAGAGCACTTGGCAACACTAGGACTTTCTATATAATACTTGTGCATCGAATGTATGTACATCATTGAGGCCTATATTCTTTGATTTATGATAGCTATTTAAATATATTCATATTTATCTTTAGAATTTTTGTACATATTTATTTATCTCAAATATTGTCCAAAGTTAAAGTAATATTATCTGCCTGGAATAAGTTTAATTATTCAAGTTCATTTTTATTAAATGATGTTGAAATGTGTTAAAGTAGAGACTAAACTACAAGAACATCCTGACATTGGTAAGAAATTTGTCAAATAATTTGAAAAAGTTTAATCATCTTCAAAATGGAAGACTTCTTTTTTAATTAAAAAAATTTCTTTTCTCTAATTGGTAAAGTGCAAATGAGGCAGAAAGATAAGTTTTATCATTTTTAAATGCACAATTTTTTCTAAAAAAATAAAAGTAATAACTCTTCATTTTAGAAAATACAGAGAGGTAAGTAAATAAAACCAAAAATATGGGGGTTACGGACAGACATAATCCCATTACTCAGAAATAACCAAAGATATTGGTCAGGCATATGAAAAGGTGCTCAGCATCACTGATATTAGAGAAGTCCAAATCAACACCACAATGAGATGTCATCTCACCCCCGTTAAAATGGCTTTTATCCAAAAGACAGATGATAACAAAAGCTGGAGAGGATGTGGAAGGCAATAACAAACACTGGAGAGGGTGTGGAGAATAGGGAACCCTCCTACATTGTTGGTGGGAATGAAAATTAGTACAACAACTAAAGAGGACAATTTGGAGATTCCTCAAAAAACTAGAGCTACCATATGATCTAACAATCTCACTGCTGGGTATATACTTGAAAGAATGAAACTCAATAGATTGAAGAGATATCTTTGCTGTCATATTTACTGCAGCACTGTTCACAATAGTCATTATTTGGGAGCATCCTGTGTCTATCAACAGATAAATGGACAAAGAAAATGTGGTACATATACACAATGGAGTAGTATTCAGCCATAAAAAAGAATGAGATCCTGTCACTAGCGAAAGCATGGATGGAGCTGGAGGTCATTATGTTAAGGGAAATAAATCAGCCACAGAAAGACAAACTTCACATGTTCTCACTTATTTGTGGGGGCTAAAAAAAATCAAAACAGTTGAACTTCTGGAGATAAGGATAGAATAATGGTTACCAGAGGCTGGGGAGGGTAGTTGGGGCTAAGGGAGAAGTAGGGATGGTAAACGGCATCAAAAAATAGTTAGAAAGAATGAATACAACCTAGAATTTGACAGAACAACAGGATGACTATAGTTAATAATAATTTAATTGTACATCTTAAAATAACTAAAGGAGTACAATTAGATTGTAATACAAAGGATAAATGTATGAGGTTATGGATATCCCATTTTCCAAAATGTGATGATTACACGTTGCATGCCTATATCAAAGTATCTTCTCAAGTACCCCATAAATATATACATCTACAATGTATCCACAAAAATTAAAAGTAAAAAAAAAAATTGCTGTAGGTCCCTTATCTTATGTTTTTTCTTTTATGTAAATATGATCCTCTCAATTATTGTATAATATTGGGTCCTGTGCTTTCCATTTAACATGATATGAAACTATATGTATTGTTAAAATTCTAAAACAGCTTTTTGTATGTATAATTTCACATACACATTGCTATACATGTATATATATTCTTTATAAATATGTGGATTATTTTGTCAATATAATGCTATTGTGAGCACTTAGTATTTTTCCAGTGTTTTGCTGTTCTATATAAAAATACACTAAATGTTTTTCCAAATAAAAGTTTTTCTAAACTTGGCATCATTTTCTTATTTTAGAATATAAGGAATTTAATTCCTGCCTAAAAGGTCATGTGAGAATTGTTGAGGTTTTGATATATAAGGCTAAATTTCATATTTGGACTTTGATTTAAAACTTGATAGATTTTTGATTTTCCATTAATGGAATCATATCTCACTGAACTTCTGATTAGGAGAGTGAAAACCTTGTAAAGTTTTTCTTTCTTTTTACATGCCAGTGCCCCCAACGTGAGCACACACAGACACATATATATTACAAAATAGACAAGAAAATGTTTTGCATAAAAGTATCTAGTATCTTTCTTTCTTGAAGGAAATGTAAATGACAATGTTGAAATACATAGTACTTATTGGCAATGTAACCTCTTGAGTGTTAGCAGAGAAGGCAGAAAAGTTACCCCACCATCTTGTTTTTCAGATGTTCTCTGGCACCACCATTCTTATCTTCTCAGTACCTATTCTCTTTCTTCCCTCCATACTCGCTCCTCTCATCTCCAATCCATCGCCATTACCACACTGGCTTTGAAACATCACTAAAGCATTTTTAAGGAATACAATTCAAAATGGTACAATAATTTACATCGTCTGCATTAACATAGTGAGTCTCTCTATTTTTTGGTAATCTATTTTATTAGGTCTTTATGAAGGTTAAACTAGATAACACACATTAAATATTTGATAGAGTGCCTAATGAATGTTCAACAAAGCATTAAGTTTCTTTTCTCCTCATGTTATTAATAAACTGACAGAGCAGTGATATAACACTAGAAAGCTTATAAGGTGTCTATAATTAATGTCCAATACATATTAAAAGTACACGAGCTGGGGTAAAAAAAGTCCTAAAGTTTGGGAGAATCTTCCTCAGGGAGACAAGTGCTATCACTAAACACATAGCTATCTAGGGACATGCATCCATTTCTTTTCTGCTAACATTCTGAAGAATTTTTCTGGGGTAGGCATGACTACAAGAGTTATCAGAGGATATAATATTTTTAGTGTTTGGAATCAAGCAAAAAAAGTAGATTTTAATATAGATTGTTGTCCCTGTACTTCTATTTTTCTGTCTTTTTTAACACAATTTTTTTTTGTATAACTTAGTGGCACCAGTATGAATTAAGTGCCCAAAACCTCGGAAGTATTAAAAATAACTTATGATCGGGATTTATTTAAAATATAAAACTGACTTAATTGTACTAATATTTTAATGACACATGTATTTGTGAGTATTTCAAAACAATCCATTTAAAAACAAAAAGTGTTGCTTATGTGAGGAAAGAGATTTAGCTAGCCAGCATAGCACAGGCATGATGAGATGGCCTGTAGTCTGTTGGAAACAGTGCTATCTCCTCACCTTTAAAAAGACAGCATTGGATGGCAAGTCTTTAAGAAAACTTTGTTTCTCCGTCGTGAAATCCGTAACATCTATACCAAATTTACAATATTTCTTTCTGCATTAATCATATAGAAAGACAATCATCAACAGGATATTTTAAAAATTTTATAAGAAAATTATTACTGGCATTAACCCTATATCATCACACATTACACCCTCACCTTCAGACAATGGAAATGTAATTAAAAGTAGATTGGGTTAATGTACTAATATTCTGAATAAAATTAAATCCTACCAATTAAAGACAACAGAATAAAATATTTTGAATATTTCAGCAGATATATTTGAAAAATATTCTACCCCTAACAAAATTAGTTTGCACTACTAATACATATTATTATAGGCCAGATCAGGCTGTTCTCTCCTGCTAATGCGTCAAATAATTACACTTTTTATAACGAAGGAAATGGGGTGTGCTCTCTAAAGGTCTCTACATAATCATCTCCCTTCAGAACAAGCCCAAAGTTTTGAATCTTGAAGAATACAGTCTTGAGGAATACAAGACAATCTATCATTTATAGATTCTAGGACAGATGGATAAGGCTAACTTTTTTGGCCTTTGTCTTAAACACATGATGGGTCTCTTTTTTCTTAAATCTATATGAGTATACTGTCACAGGTATGTATTAAAGCAAATTTTATTTGGTTTATATGTACTTTTTAAACATGTCTCCTCTGACCACAATGATTCTATTCTTCCCTACATATTGCCTTAGCTGGGCCCCCAGAATCTTCTCTCCATCTTCCTGTCCTTTTTCCTTATGCACACCCCATTCCAGAATAAGAATGTAAGTGCTATTTCAATCAATATTTATTTCCTTACCAGGAATTAATTTTCAAGGGAACAATTACTATTGCATTACTCTTGTCATCTATTGGTTTTGCCCAAATGTTATTCTAATTATTTCCCCAAAAAAAGAACCTTACATACAATATATTCTACCCTCAAGGAGTAAACACTTGAAAAAAGAAAGACAAAAAACCTTGTATATATAATTGTGTCCAGAGTTTCTTCCTTCCAGTGGGTTCGTGGTCTCCCTGACTTCAAGAATGAAGCCGCCGACCTTCGCGGTGAGTGTTACAGCTCTCAAAGGTGGCACATGGAACCAAACAGTGAGCAGCAGCAAGATTTATGGTGAAGAGCGAAAGAACAAAGCTCCCACAGCATGGAAGGTAACCCAAGCGGGTTGCAGCTACTGGCAGGGGTGGCCAGCTTTTATTCTCTTATTTGTCCCCACCCACATCCTGCTGATTGGTCCATTTTACAGAGTGCTGATTGGTCCATTTTACAAACCTCTAGCTAGCTACAGAGCACTGATTGGTGAGTTTTACAATCCTAGCTACAGAGTGCTGAGTGGCGCGTTTTACAATCCTCTTGTAAGACAGAAAAATTCTCCAAGTACCCACCCAGCCCAGAAGTCCAGCTGGCTTCACCTCTCATAATGACCATAAAAATTGAAGGTGCTTTTAGTTTTTGCTTTACAGAGAATATGTTTCTCGTCATCAAATATGTAGAGAAAAATAATCATGTGTTACAATGAAATGTAATGAGAAAAATGTAATAAAAAAACCTGGCATTCAGCTGCTGACCTTAAAAAATAGGATTACATTGCTTCTCAGCCTTTCGGCTAAGATCAAGTGTGAAAAATAGGATTACATATTTGGTCCCTAGTTTTGCAGTCAAGGGAATTAATTTCGGAGAAAAATGTTGAGTTTCTTTCTTTTTTTTTAAATTTAGTTTCGAGGTTGGAAGACTCATGTCACATAATGATTTTAATACCTAAAATATTTTTGTTTACAATTTTGGTATTTTGCAGCAAGTTAAAATACCAAAGAGAAAGTAAATGATATAGTAGAAATGTCTTCTGGTCCAGAGTGAATTAGAAGTTTTGAAGAATAGAGATGCTGAGACAAAAGAGTTGGCCTGACTGTCTCTTGTTGAAGATTGAGAGAGGGGAAGGAGGGTTCAGTAAGGTGCATGAAGAGGGGAGAGCAAGGCACAGTCATGTCAACATGGCAGATCTTTGTGATTCTGTAGCAAGAACTCTTGAGCTTAGCTAGTATAAAATAGACAAGACCAAGAACCAGATGACAATATGTCTAGGGAGTCTGCTGGAGGAAATATGGTAAATTGAATTATTGCTCCCAATACCTCACTAGCTTCTCTCATAGAAGTATACATTTAAGGCCTTTAACATGTAAATTTCTAGTGCTTCTGACCAGAGTATGAGGATTATACACCCCTCCACCCGACCACCATACACTGATTTTGGTTTGGACGTATGTCTTTCTTTGGCCAGTGTGCTCTAGGTAGAAGTGGCAGTGTGCCAGTTTTGAGCCATGGCCTTAAGAGACATTGCATATTTCTGGTGGTCCCTCTTGCTCTTTTGGTCTCCATTATGAGAAGATCACAACCTGGGTAGCAATGACTCTGAATACTAAGCATATGAAAAAACCCGAATCAGACCCTCAGCCGAAAGCAGAGCCACCTAAGCCAAACCACAAACCTATGACCCACAACAAAAATAAATGTCTTTGTATGACATTGATATTTGGGGGACATTTTTGCGTGTGCAGAATTATCACAGGAGAAATCTGATGATATAGGGAGGGAGTCAGCAGAAGGACCTTGCTGTGGGATGGCTCTCCTTCCAGGGCTACAGATCAGACTCTCCAAGCTCAAATAAGAGAATTGTACTAACTGCAGCATAAGCCTAGATGAGGCCCATCAGTAGAGGAATACTCCCTATTCCCAATGATACTAAGAGATCAGATTAGGTTATGTCATCAGTCTTCCTTCTCCAGGCCAGCTGGGCAAACAGTACCTATGTGGACAAAAAATATAACCTTAGAAATCAGAGGGGACAGTGAACATTTCATCCAAGGGCCTGACACTTCCTTGCTTCCATGAGTTCTCAGGCATTTCTGCTACACCTAGAATTCATCTTCCAAGAAGAAAATTGAAATGAGGAGGCTGAGAAACAGAAATAATTATTCAAGAAAGAATAAACAGTTCTTAAATAGACAATGTATATCGTCACTCAGTTTGGGCTTTAAAAATCAGCTGTTTAGGCTGGGCACGGTGGGTCATGCCTGTAATCCCAGCACTTTGGGAGGCCTAGGAGGGCAGATCACGAGGTCAGGAGTTCAAGACCAGCCTGGCCAAGATGGTGAAATCCCATCTCCACTAAAAATACAAAAATTAGCCAGGCATGGTGGTGGGTGCCTGTAATCCCAGCTACTTGGGAGGCTGAGGCAGGAAATTGCTTGAACCCGGTAGGTGGAGGTTGCAGTGAGCCGAGAATGCACCACTGCACTCCAGCCTGGGAGACAGAGCGAGACTCCGTCTAAAAAAAAAAAAAAATACCGTTTTAATTCCTTGTTTGCTTGTTTGTTTTCCCCTGATAACTAAACATTAGGGGCTTAGGAGAAAGACTAGACTGGTTCCGGGAAAAACAAAGATGCTTTTCTCTATTAATCAAGTACTAAATTGAATTACAACTAGTTAAAATGGTTTTTTAAGGTTTCAAGGAGGAAGTAGGATATATAAGCAGAATTATGAAAGAATAGGAAAAGATAAATTGTGGTGAAAGATGGGTGGTGTGGGTCTCCATTTTGTTTCCCTCTATCCACATTTGGTGCTTCCATGTACCCTGTGGTTGTTTGTGAAGAAGGAAAATCACTCAAAGGAAACAAAGATAGTTTCACAGTTCAGTTCTTTCTGGTATTTTTATTTTTATATTTTTTAACTTTTGTGCTTATCTAAAAAGAGTGAAGTAAGAGCATGCCAAACGGTGTAATTTCGTTTTAACTTAAGATTTCTGTATGTTTTTAAATACCACTTTTCTAAATAAACTGTTACCATGAAGTTTAAAAGGCAAAGAAAACACAAGCATTGTAACCTTATTAATTGTTGCAAAATCACTACCGATGGAAACTTTTGTACTTAGAGTACTATTCTGCTAAGTAAATCAAGTAATTCAGCTGTTGCTCTTCTTATTATTTTCGTTTACTTTGAATCACAGAGGATATTGATAGGCTTTTAAGTTCATAAAATGTGCACACTGATGAATATAAATAGCTATTTCTTAAAAATTGCATCTCTGGCCATTTTTTTAAATCAACAAATATCTGCTTATGGATTGGGTTTGGCTGTGGATCTAGTCCATAATTCCATAATTTTGGTTCTTGCATATTACTGATGCTTGGTCTGTTACTTTTTGTATTTGTTATGGACTGAATGTTTGTGTCCTCCCCAAAATTCATATATTCAAATCTGAACCCCCAATGTGATGATATCATGAGGTAGGTCCTTTTGGAGGTAATTGCACCATGAGCGGAAAGCTTTCATGAATTTGACCAGTGCCCTTATAAGATGAGACAGGAGAGAGATGATTTTTTTTTTCTCTAGGCCATGTGAGAACAAAACAAAAAAAAATAGCCATTTCAAAAGAGGTAGAGTGTCCTCAACAGACACTGGATCTTTTGAAGCTTTGATCTTGGACTCCCCAACCTCCATAACTGTGAGAAGTAAATGCTGTTTAAGCTACCCAATCTGTGGTGTCTCGATATGGCAGCCTAATCAGACTAACACAATAATCAAATAACATATTATCTTAATTTGTCACAAATATCTACCATAGGCAATTAATTTTTTTGTGTTCCTATTGATTACAAAACCAATAAAACATAAAGAAATAAATTTATTAACTGAATCTCAGTATGATTGATTTCCAGTCCATCTCTGTTGACTTTAAAAAAGTCACAATAGGGATTAACATATCTTTATTAAAAATGATCAATCTTAAAGTTTATTCTCCTTTTAAGTGTTTAGATTTTACCTCTTGAAATGCTTTCTGCAATTCAGTGAAATATTTCTATTCAGATCGTAGCGACATTAGCAGTTTGAACCAGATTAGAAATACAAGTGACGCCTGTGAGGGAAGATGCCTCAGAAGTTCTAAGATTCGAGATTGTGTACATTGATTTTTAGCAAAACATTTTTACTACTTTTGTCTTTGAAAAACTTAATAGGTGAAAATCCTGCACATTACATATAATCATTGATGTTATAGCACTACTATACATGATACTGCAGTGGTTTACAAAACTATCCCTGCAGAAAGGACTTGAGAGATAAAGCTATTTATTTTTAGTTCTTCAATAAACATTTTAAAGCAGGAGTCTTGAAAATATTAACATATTTTCTGGCTCTGATTTGCCAAGATACAGTATCATATCAAGATTTCATTTTATTATTTAGAATTACATTTCTAAATTAATTAATTGAATACTTTGCTGGAATAGATAAGTGACCTTTATGTCCTTTGGTTTTTGTAAAAAAAAAAATTACATTTCTACTTGAAAATAACATATATAAAACACACATTTTTAAATACAAAATCACCACTCCTAAGCAGTAGGATTAAGGTAAGACCAATAATATAACTTCACATAGTTCTTTCTGAATTTAGCCTTCCATTGAAATGCATATGTACCATAAATCTCTGTGATCAGTTGCTGTATTTATTATATCAGCATAGTATTCTAAAACTTTCCATTTCTCTTGAAGAAATTGGCCTCCAGCCTTTCTGGTTTCCATTTACTTATTCATTTTCATACAACAGAGACAATCTGGTGGTTCCATCTATTGGGCCTTAGTTTCTCCATGAAGAAACAGAATACCCCTCCCCTGAAAAAGTTCTGTTAGATACTTCTCTGAGGGAACACTGCTACAGGTGATAAATATGAACTGTACCCTTGTTTTGAGGTTAATGTTTTTCAAATGCATTGTTAGGTTATTTTCAAAATGTTGTCACTAAATTAACATCTTTAATTTGGAGCTGATACAAAATCAAACTAAATAATGCAGAATTTTCAAAAACCATTTTAGATTTTGCCAGTTTTTTACAGAATTGAGTAAAATTTCTTGTGTTAACCTATGAAAGGCTAACAAAAGTTAGCTACTGTAAATAACTTCATCACTATGAGCACTATTAAACATTCAAAACAAGTTCATGTTGTCTTATGGGTATGGTAATATCTGAAGTAAAGTGAAATATACCATGTGAAAATGAAAATGTTAAAAAAACCCAAACCACGAAAAATCTAAATACATCAACATATCAACAACTATGATTAAACAAATAAATCAAAATTTTAATATGTGTTTTCTATCCAGGCTCTAAATTTTAATATAATAGTTTTAGTTTTCTTTGCATTCTTGTAAATCACACTCATTTTCAGTAATGCTGTTTTTTTGGTCTATTTCCGTAATATAATGTTCACGCTTTGGAGTTACCCTGAAATAAATACTCTTCAATTCTTTTAGAAATAAATATTCAAAGGCAAGTAAATGCATATGAACTCTCACACACACACAACTTATAGGTAGTAAAAGGAGTCAGAAATTCTGTCAGATGTCACAGGTTTGTTAATGGAAGAAGATGTGGGAGTTATTGTATCTTGGCATCTAGATGGCATTCCTTTGACTATTCTTCGGTTTATTTGCACCATCATTTCACCTATTTTCTGTTCATGCAACATAGGGCATCTTAAATATTATTTCTATACTATTTCTTTAACATATCTAATCTTAAGGAACAGTTTAATAGTTGTATTATAAATGTCAACATCTTTAAAAATTTCAACTATTATGTATTCTGATAGACGCATTCTCATTATTGCACACATCAAAATGAATTTAGGAAGTTTAACTTCTTTAAGATTTAGTGTTTGTGTGTGTGTGTGTGTGTGTGTGTGTGTGCATACATATGTATAAATACACACAGAGACGTTCCTGTGAAATATAGTATCGAATGGGTGAGATCTGTTTAGAAATCTCATGCATAGATTATTGGTCAGATTGCAGAGATATCTGAAGCAGAAAAGACGTTAGCTCAGCATAATGAATATGTCTGCCAGCCATTTTTATAATGACTTGCTGCAGTTTTTATTGTCTGACAAACCGTATGCTGTGTTGTACTGTGAGCTTTCTTGTTCGACATAATCAAAAATGATGCAATGTATCCCTCGAAGTCTAGCTGGATGAAAGGAAGGCAGCAGAGTGCTGCTTCTGCCAATAGTTTGGTTGCATATTCTGTTGAAATTGTTCTGCAGGTGATAAATGCACAATTACCATCATTTATAATGCATTGTTTACAATCTATTGCAGAGATATTATTCAGATTATAGAGTTTTAAAATCTATTCATACATCCAAAACTTCTTCCTACACATGAATGAAACCAGCAGGTGTATTTAAACCTCTCGAGATAAAAATATTTACTTATACTTAGAAAGCTATGAAATAATTTACTCTTGGTTTGTTAATTTATTACTATATTTTATATGACATTTAAAAAAACATTTGCTTCTCAGGGAAAAAATATTTCAAAAGATAAAAAATCCTAGCTAATTAACAGTTAAATGCATCAATATTTCATTAAAGGTTTAGAATTAATATGAGTGATCATTTTCAATCTAGCACTTTCATATGTATGAAAAGATCCATGCTTAGTTTTAATAAGAATGTATTAATATAAGGTCTATAAAGTGCACTGGGCAGGAGTGTTGTACAATAGAACTGCATGGTATGTATATTCACTTTGGTGATAAATGCTTCATTCCTTCTTTAGAGGATTATTAAAAGCATTCTCTGGAGGAGTAAAATGGTGGAAGTCACACATTTAATAGCTCAGGTACAAAGAGTCAGATTGTGCCAGTTGGCAAAAGTTAGCAGGAAGCTGTCACAATAAATGGCAGCAGCTGCTCATAGTTCTAAAGAGTATGTCCCAGTCAGAACTGAAAACTGATGGCATCTACATTAATACTACCTTAATGGCCCATCTGCTGCTCCATAGGGTCCCTAGCTGCTGTATGGAGTCATAGGCATTTGACAGGCAGTCTCTGTATGCCAGACGCACATTGTGCCAAATGTTTTAGGCTGCTTCATCTCGTTCTGATCTGTCAGATTCTCCCTACTCATTTATCAGGCAAGGAGTTATGAGGATTTTTCTTTTCTACACATCATTGGCTTTAAGCATTGGGGCAGCTAAGAATTTGGAAGGCAAACTATTTTGGTTATTATTTTTTTTCTAATTGATGTTGCAAGGCAAAGTTGTCTAATATACTGTACTGTAGTGCGTAGGTTAACAAAGCACTATGACAAGCAAGCCCTGTGGAGAAATCAATTGAGTGAATTTTAAAATGCAGGGCTGCATAAATATGTTTCTGTGATTATATTGGAGGAAAATATTATATATTTCTAAGAACCTTATTAACTGGGCACATGTAAAGAAAGCTTACCTTTAGGTTACTAAGATAAAAAATGTTAATATCTTACTGGAATACCATTAAAATACTTTGATAGGAAATGAAAACAACATTCAAGAGCATTTCTTAAAACTTCTATTTCTAAAGTTGAAAAACCTTCATAGTCAAGTCAAACACAAATATGAACAAGTTTCTATCTTGGAGCAGTTGATTAAATTGTACATAAATAATGTTCAATGTTAATAGTGAAGTATTATTCATATTTAATGTTCTGAATGGTCATTGCAGTGCAATTCATATGTCATTAAGTAAGGAACTAATGGAAAATATATTATCAAATTTGTAATTCTTATTTCAAAAATGTGAAAAATTTCTTTATGATAAAGATCTCTTGACAATGGGGTAAATCATAACTCTTGAATTAAACAGTTATGCCATTTCTCATTTTAGGGACCAGCCACAAAATGGCTGCCAATTATATACATTTTAGAAAACTTAGTTATCTTCTGCTGAAGAGAGCTAACAGATAACCCTTGCTCCCACTAGAATCTCCCTAGCCTTCTTGATACTCTAGATGTTTCTAAAACATAATTGCTCCATATTTGTAAGTGTCCTTCTGTCAATATGACCTATATAGTTTTTTTAATGGTTTCTGTCTCTTTGTTTAGAATATCCAGATGTTGGAGGTTTAATCTGATTGTTTTAAGACCTTATGATAGACGAATAAAAATGATACACACAAAAAACCCTATCAATAGGTATAGATAAACCAGACATGTCAAATGTTATAGTGTTCAAACAAGAAAGTGTGGGTGAAACTGTTACTTTTTTCCAAGTTCCTGCAGGTTTCCCAATCACAATCAGTAGCAATAGCAACAATAATATTAATACTAATTTTAAAAGAAACTGTTAAATTATTGCTTTTTTTAGAAACTCAATCAACAATCAATTTGTCTTGAAGAATAGATCATATGGAAGCAACAGGGTTTAATGCAAGCATGTGGGTATGCAAGTGCATGTGCACACACATGCGTTGTGAAGGCATGGGAAATATTTTTGGTGGGTTCACATATTTAATTAGTGTTAAAATTTTCTTAATTTATGTGAGTCTATGCTATTTCAATATAGGTATTTTTAAGATACAAAACAATCAATATAGCAGTGTAATATAATTTTTAGAGATGTTTAAGATTTCTTAAATTATTTCTGTATTCAAATAGACCCAACATTATGGTGATTGTTACCCAGTCTTCAGTAGAGTTACAATCTTAATTAAGTATTGAAACCAATTTGTAATTCGTGCTATTGTATTCTTGTGACAGTACATCCTGGGCATCTCGTCTGGCAGGTACAAAGCACTGAAGTTTTTGGTGAGAAGGGTCAGGCACAGCCCTGTTCTTTCCTAAGATGCTCTTGCATCACTAATTTTCATTGGCATTTGGGAATTATCTTCTAGGATAAAAAAGTACCAGTTATTCAGAAGAGATTGGGCGTGTTCAGGGTGGTATGGCCATAGACAAGTACCAATTATTCAATACTTAGAATGTGCCAGAGATGGTATTAGAAGCATTGTATATTGTTTTTGGTCTTCGCGACAACTCTGTGATGAAAGTATTACTCTGCTATACAGATACCGAAAAGGAGACTGGAATCGTACCTAATTTACCCAGGATCACAAATGAGATTGAGTTGGATTTGAACCATGGCTGTGAGAAGCCAAAGTTATACTGCTTGGTTGTTTACAATTGTGATCTTTAAAAAGATAAAGTATCACACATTCTAGGTATACATTAAAGAAAACAGCACTGGAAGAAGCAGTGTGGGCCTTGAGAAAAGGCACGCCACAAAAGGAGTCTGGCAGACAAAGCGAGTCCAGGGTCAAGGCCTATACATCAGAGGGGAGTGTTTGTTCTCACCACAGCATGTTGGTGACAGCAGAGCTCATGGTGACACAGACATCTCTTTGACATTTGTAGGTTCTTGGGAAATGGCTTTGACTGTGTATTATAAGGGCTGCAAATCTTTGGGACCTAGGCAACTTTGCTGTGGGACAGCCCTTGATGAAATGTAATAGAAAAAGAGAGTGCTGCTTTTCACCATGAGGTAGGTGGCACTAAGGATAAATTTTCATTGCAAACAACATCTAATTGGCTTCAGCAATTGCCTGTGAACTACCACAGAAGTGTCTGGCCCAGAGAAATACCCCTCAGTTCTAGCTTCTCATACTGAAGACAATGGTGTACAATGATCAGGCTAATTTGTGAAGTCAGGTAAACATAAGGAAACTTAGAAAATTGGAGAGGAAAACACAGAAAAGATAAGCTCCCTTACAAATCAAATAAATGTGACTATTACAGAAATTTGGGGTATTAATGAAAATTGCCTTCATTGTACAAAAAGGATGTTAAGCATGGGGCAGTAGGATTTGTACTTTTGGCCTTTGTTGTCAGAGTTAATTCTTATGCAAATACTTTAGAGTGGTTTTACTAGGCTAGAGATATGGAAGATGAAAATTTTGTTTTCATACAGCAATGACTAATATGTAGAAGAAATTCAAAGTAGTGGCCAATCTTTAACTTACTATTACTTGAAGTAGAAGTGTTTTCTTTTTTTTTTCTTCCAGAATTGTATTTAAGGCTTTGAATGCATGCATTATTTTCCCAGAAAAATAAAAGAGCAAAGAAACAAAAAATAGCAGAGAAATTTAAGACAGAACAAGACCAACAAAAGATCATTCCCTCAAAAGTTACAGCGATATTTTAATATGAACCCCTGTAAGGGTTTTAATGCAGCATTTCTTAAGTAAGAGTTTTTCTAGCTTTTCTAGTAATTAAAAGTAAGAAATCAAAAGGAAAAGCTAGAAAAATAGAAATGTGCTTACAGCTCTTTGTGGTGTCCATGAGCTCATATTACTTATGTGATACAATGAATTCTAATACAGAATAATAATGAAGATAATAGAAAAATAATGGCTCACTACTCCCAGCTGGAGATGTTGACAAGATCCCATTCGGATAGGATTTTGCTGAGTTAAATAATTTTCTGGAGAGCAAGAAATTTTTCTTAGAACACAGTCCTGAGAATGAAAGAAGAAATGTGAAGAAGACAAGTAATAGAGTTGGACTTAACAGGAAAAATATCTTGAAAGAAAATGCCTTCAGATTGATCTTTGAAGGAAACAATGCCACAGATAGAACTGTAAGGGAAGCTATACCTTTTGTATGTGTCCTTCCAGTACTTCTACTAGGGTCTTGCCTGCCATTTGCTCCTATAAATCATTTCCTCATTCTGACTCAGGCAATCTAGAGCCCTAACATGGCACAGCATATCTGTAAATGTGGCTAAATCATGTCAGTCTCTATTGGTTGGCTTGGTTGTATGTGTTTGTGTGTGTGTGTCTTTATATTTGCAGTAATCGGTCATAAAAGTTTAGTCAGATAAACTCATTCTTATTGTGCAACTAGCCAATATATTATCTCTTCTAGGTAGTTTACTGCTATAATACCTAAAACCAATTGAACTTTTATAAATATTAATCAATAAATATATAATTGAGATAGGAATTTCTTGGGGGGAGGGAGACTCTTAGTGGCAAATTAATATTAGCCTCTTTTACAGCCATTTTAGAAATACATTCTTGTTAACTAAACCCTTTTCAGGGTCCTTGTCTTTCAAAGGATCCTGGGACTCCTCAGTTGCAATGGGTGCATCTATATTTGCTTAAAACATTAAAAGTGACCCCATTCTTCATACCAAGTGATTGAATTGGAGATAGGAGCTTGAAACATTCTATTCTGTGAAGGGTTTGGTTAATATACCAAGCATGGTTTGGCAGAAAATTGGTAAGAACTTGTATCGTTGATGTCACTGAACTAATTAAAAAAACCCTGAAAACAATCAATTCCAGAATTCTTGTTATGTGAAATAATAAACCACTTACTGTTTAGCTATTTCGTATCGTAGTACTCAGCTGCTAACAACTGAAGTTATTCTAACTGATATAGTCCTTTTACACAAAACTTAAGACAAAAAAACATAGTAGAGTAAATTGTATCCAGGTGTAGAGTATCCAGGTGTAGGCAGAGAAGTATTTACATAAGAGGTGAAGCTAAGGAAGGCAGGTTAGAATTAGACTACAAGAGTCCTAATTCCAATTTTAGACATTTGACTTGTATTGTATAGACAGAAGGGACAGGTATTGAGGATTTGGAGCAAGAAGTCTGAAATGATGAAATCAGTGTCTTGCCAACATTGATCTTGATTTTGTGGCAATATATACAATTTGTTGGTGGGGGGGAAGCAGTCTAAAAATAGGGACACGAACTGGGAGAACAAGTGTGAAGCAATGAAGATTAGAATGACAATTGCAATGAAAAGGAAAGGATTAGGCAAAAGAAGTTGAAAATCAATTGATAGACTTAATGACTGGTTAAATACAGGGAATGAAAAGAAGAGGATGAGATAATGATTGCTCTGAGGTTTTGAGTCTTGAGTTCAGTGGACTGAAGGCTTGTGTCACTCCTTAATTCATAGGTTGAAATCCTAATCCCCAATGTGATGGCATTAGAAGGTGGGACCTTTGGGAGGTAATTAGGTCATGAGGGTGGATCTCTCATGAATGTTATTGGTGGTGCCTTCATAAGAGGGTACCCCAGAGAGCTCTCTTATTCTCTTTATACAATATGATAAAATGAGAAATCTTCAGTTTGCAACCTGGAAGAGGGCCTTCACAAGAAACTCACCATGTTGATACCCTCAACTTGGGCTTTCAACTTCTAGAACTGTGAGAAATAAACTTCTGTTGTTTATAAACCACCCAGTCCATGGTACCTTACTACAGAAGCCCAAACTGATTAATATACTGAGTAAATGAAAGAATAGACCCATTAATTGAAAACAGGACAATCAGGAAGAGAGGTTAATTTTGAGAGGTGAAAACCAAATTGAGTTTGAGAAGGTGAGTAGAGAATTCAACAGAAAAATATCTTTTATGCTGCTGGAAATTCAGGACCGTTCTTTAAGATGAGAATTTCAGACTGATTTGAATTATATTTGTGAATATAAAAACAACTTTTTAATTCATAAACCATACCTTTTTTTTCTACATGTAGTATAAGTCTCAGAAGAAACTCACATTTGTTTAGCACTAATAGACATTTAAAACTCCTATGTCTTAAATTTTAGTTTCAATTTATTATATAGTAGGTAATTTGTTGTTAAGTAGGTGATAATAGAGATTGAACTCTTAAAGTAGAGACTGATTATTATGTCATTACAATGTGACTTAAAAAAATTCCTAGGGACTGTAGGAAAGGAAAAAAAATACTGGAGACAAAGGTTTCAGGAGTGTGTGTGTGTGTGTGTGTGTGTGTGTGTGTGTGTGTGTATAATCATTGTGCCCAGTTACATAAGAAGAAAAAATAAACCCAAACACTCAGTTTTATTAACTTTGCTAAATTGAAAAAATGTTCTCTTGACAAGAAAAAATACAACAAACTTCTTTGTCCTCTTTTTTTCTCTGGTTGGAAATACCAATTTTCATAATGGAGGAAAATGAGAAAACATTTTTCTGTGAGAGGAAGCCTTAGCAGATATAAAAACAACTTTTTAAATATTTGTTTTTTGAATCTGAGAAGGCAGCCACCAAGAAAGAAAAGCACTGATAGACCTGGAAAACGACATACTAAAATTTCTGAAGGGAATATTTATTTTTTTAAGGAATCCAAGGAAAACCATAAGAGTAACATCAATATGATATTGATATGAATATTTGTATAACACAGAACAGATCCTTGAGGAGAAATTGGTCAGCCTGTGACTTGGTTAAATTGATAGCACATTGTAAAACTCAATAAATATTTCCAATTCAGTGGCACAGACTACATTTTGCTGTGGTGGAGAAAGTATTAGGGAATACTTTCAACATGTGACTGGTAGAACTAGACCATCACCGCCTAGCTGAGGACCTTAAACAAAGTTTCTCTCTATCATGCCATTTCTCCATCTGCTGAATGGGAATAGCACATTCTCTAATTTACAGAATTGTAAGCAATATTTTCAAAGGTGCGTATGTTTTGAAAAACATAACATTTTATGCATACATAGGGAATAAAAATAATATTGTTTGAGTAAAAGAAATTTTGCGGCTGGGCACGGTGGCTCACACCTGTAATCCCAGCACTTTGGGAGGCCAAGGCGGGTGGATCACAAGTTCAAGAGATTGAGACCATCCTGGCCAACATGGTGAAACCCCGTCTCTACTAAAAGTACAAAAATTAGCTGGGCATGGTGGTGCGCACCTGTAGTCCCAGCTACTCGGAAGGCTGAGGTAGGAGAATCCCTTGAATCCAGGAGGTGGATGTTGCAGTGAGCTGAGATCAAGCCACTGCACTCCAGCCTGGAGACGGAGTAAGACTACATCTCAAAAAAAAAAAAAAAAAAAAAGAAAGAAAGAAAAAAAAGGAATTTTGCCTATTTCCAATGTAAGAATGAATGCAGCCAGTTGACATATCACACAACCAAAGGGAAAGGAGGCCTGTCATTTAGGAAGTGATGCAAACAGAAAAGGATTCTATCTTGGATTATAGTTTTAAATATTTGCCCTGTCCATTTGCCCATTGCCTTTTTTTTTTTTCTCTTTCAGGGACATAGGTGATAAAAGTATTACTTCTACTTTATGGGTCCTCCATTTCCACTGCTTGCTTTCTAAGCCTCTTTATTTCTTTCATGACTCATTTTCTTGGTTGCTTTCCTACCTGTCATCAGTGACCCTTGTTAAATATTTATTTGAGGCTACTCTTTGAGAACTTTGCAATCTATTTTTTATTTTTGAGGTAATGTTTTCATTTTTTCATTTCTTTCCTGAGTTCAATCAACTTTATCATCTCTATGCCTATTTCTAATTTTTATTTATGAATTTCTCATTCAAGATGCTTTTGCATATCCTCAAATGCTTGAGTATATTTAATCATATTTGTCATGTTGATTTTCAGTTTTCTTTGAATTCAAGGTTATTTTGTAGAAGGAAGTGGTTTACTCAGTTGGTTTTTTTGTGACATTTTGTTCCCTGATTTTTTGCAATAGCTTAATATGGACTTACATTTCCTATTGTTTACTTTTATACTGAGGTATTTCATGAAATTCCTAGCTTAATGTCACAATTTCACCCTATCTGTTAGTATAGCAACTCCAGGTTCTCTGTCCTGTTCCTTTATTTGTTTTGGTGTGGTAGGATGGGGGTTGTGAGTCTTCTGAATTTATGGTTCTCTTTGGCCAGGATCCTGTATTTCTCCTGTCTTATTTTTTGTTCTTTTCCTCTTCGCCACACAATTGTCAGAGTGCTTTTCCCATTTTTGTTTTTGTTCTATTGTCTTTCTCAGAAGCTATGCATTTTGAAAAGTGTCCTTTTTAAATTGAACCTGTCCTTCCACATATACTTTGAAATTTCTTCCCTGTAGTCCATGCTCTGATCTGCTTGAACATTGTTTTAATATTTTTAGATTGAGGATGGACTTAATCTTTTGGTATTTGTTTTGATCACTCTTAGGCACTTTCACCCAGTTTTCTTCTTTTTTCTTCTCTGAAGTTATTCTTGATCTGGCTTTGCTTCCTCAAAGCCTTACAGCAAGGCAATAGGGCAGGGAGGGAAAGGAAGCACAAGAGTCAGCCTATAAAAATTTGGTAACTTTTCTCTTTCTACATACACTTGTTTTGATGCTTCAGTATTGTCTATTTTTGATTAATGTTGAAGGCATAGATTTATGTAGAGTTTACATTTTTGTTCTTGTTCCTATTGTTTGGGGTAATATTGGAAGGTAGGAAGCTATGCAGATGCCACTGTCTGTAGCCACCGGGAAGTATGAGATTTTATGTATAACTCTTATAAACATTTGAGTGAAAGTCTTTTTGTGTATGTATATTTTTATTTCTTCTGGATAAATATATAGGGGTGGAGTTCCTGGGTCATATGATATACATTTAACTTTTTAAGAAATTGCCAAACAGTTCTCAAAAGTAGTTGTACCATTTGAATCTCCCACTTGCAATGTAGAGAGTTCCAGCTGATGCAGAGATTAAGAGCAGACTGAAAACACTCTATGTTTGGTCTTTCATTGTTGCTGCTGTGAAGTCATCTGTCAGTTTTATTGCTTTTCTTTTTATTGGATCTTTCTTTTATCTCTGGTTACATCTAATATCTTCTTTTCATCTTTGATGTTCTACAATTTCACCAGGATATTTGCAGATGTGATTTATTTTCAGTTATAATGCTTGAGGTCCATTTGGCTTTTTCAGGCTCAGGTTTAGTGCTCTCCCATAAACCTGGAGAAATATTAGCCATCATCTCTGATCTCTGCTTATTGCTTCATCTCCTTTATTTCATGTTCTTTTTCTAGTACTAGTAATGTTAGACTAACTTTTATATTTTTCATGTATCAGTTTGTTTGAACACTTCTTTTACATAAATTCTTTGGATCTATGTTTTGATTACATTGACATTTTAGTTGTATTATACGCTTTAAAAATTCTATATTACTTTTTTCAGTATGATCGAATGCCCTTTATGAACTCTTATTTCTTGCTTGTATTTTTGAGCTTGTCTTTTTTCATATTAATCATATTTATTTTGTATTTGGTGCTGATCATTTCAATATCTAAAATCTTTAAGGATATGAATCTACTGTTCGTCCTTAGATCTTATTCATGGTGGCTTTTTTCCCTGTATGTTTTGTAAATTTAAATGTAAGCTGCTTATTTATCTTAAGAAATGTCTTAAAATATAATTCTTTGAAAATTCTTTTTTGCTTGAGTTCAAATTACAATTCTCCAAGAGTATTCATGCTTGCTTCTGTCAATTTCCTGAAATAAACCCAAACCAGGACCACTAAAATTAAATTTTTTCATGATGTTTTCCAGACATATTGGAAGGCTAAATTATGATTACAACAAATTCTTAGGGAAGAATTTGTGTGTGTTCATTTGTTTCCTCCACTTAGTGCCAAGATTAGGACAAGCAATATTCCTTGCTCTTTCTTTCTTGTGGAAACTTCATTTTTATATCACCTTTAAAATGAGGATATATCCACAGAGGTCTTAGCTTTACGTGGGGAATTTCTTGTTACATTTCCCAACTTAGCTGGTTTTAGGATTTATAACCTGTTCCATACTTTGTGCAACTATCAACGGAAACTCAGAATTCTGGATTTGATAAAAAATTCACGGAAAGATTTAGATCTCTGGGTGATTCCTATCACTTATTTTCTAGTCACTGTGCATTTTTTGGCTACATTTTAATTTTCTTCCCCATTTTCTTTTACTTATTTCATTGTATTTCATTTGGTAGTTTCTCCAGAATATTTTTTCTGTCATTCTGATAGGTCTGGAAGTCTGCATGCTGTTTTAAATGACTGTTGAAGCGCTAGTGGGGAATTTAATATGGAACAATGCACTAGGTAAATAAATAAAAGTGAAAAAGGATTAAGTTTGATCCTTCCCAGAGCCTTGGAGGAAAGAAATTAAATAGTTATGGTTTCAAAATTGGAATAAATGCCATTTAATACAATGTATTGACAATCTATATTATACTCACTCGAAGTTCTACTGAATGTAAGAACAAATGTCTCTATCATACTTTTAGCTATTTCTACAAAGAAAAACAAGACACAAATAGATTGATTGCAATTTAAGTTTAGATCTGTCAATCAAATACTTAACATTTTACAATATCAATATTGTTCAATCAGAGCATAAATGTAGATAGAAAACACAAGCAGAAGAGAGAGATTGCTAGGTAGATGATTAAAGTAAAACAAAAATAATTTTTAGCAATTTAAAAGAGATTAATTTGTTTAGAAATTATTAGAAAAAAGGCAATAATAATTTTTAAATGAATAATTAAATCTGTTAAACAGAAAAATTTGATATCTCTTGGTAAAATAATCAGCAAGGACTAAAACTAACTTTGTTTAACTGGAACCATTTTGTATATGAAATTTAAACTTTGACAGGCTTAAATTTTAATTGGTTTTTATTTTGTTTTGTGTCAAACTCAACTGGTATGTGCCTGTTTTAAAACTGGATAGAAATTTGGGAATACATTGAAGACTGTATGAAATTAACTAAGGTTTTGGACAATACTAACAGCTCTAGTCCATTGGAAATAGAACATTTTTATATAAATCTTTCCTCTGAAGATCCAGAAGGACTTCTTAATTCTATTTTTCTGTAAATTAAAAGTCAACCTTAAAGCATTTTAGTTTTGTTTTTGTTGTTGCCTTGTTTTGTTTTTTTGAGACAGTGTCTCATTCTGTCACCCAGGCTGGAGTATGGTGGCACAATCACGGCTCACTGTAGCCTGGACTTCCTGGGCTCAATTATCTCACTACAGCCTCCCAAGTAGCGGGGACTAGGTGTTATGTCACCACATCTGGCTAACATATTTATTTATTTAGTAGAGATGAAGTCTCTTTATGTTGCCTATGCTGGTCTCGAACTCTTGGGTTCAAGTGATCCTCCAGCCTGAGCCTCCCAAAGTGCTGGGATTACAGACATGAGCCACAGAATCTGGCCCATTAAGTGGTAAGAGGCACGTGTTAGAATTTTTTTAATATATCATTCATAAATCCATATCTGTACTTTCATATTCTTTGTTTAAACATCTTATCCCAGTGCTTGGCAATTTTTAAATGCTCAGCAATATTACTGAATAAATAGCTTAGAAAATTTCTGCATTTCTTTATCTCTGAACATTTATAGTGTATATATTTGCAGAGTTTTGTGTAACTCCATATTTTATACATATCTTCATCTTTAATTCTGAAATTCTCTATGGAAAGGATGTTTATATAACTTTCGTTTTTCTTGTGTGAAGTGTAGCCTTGAGAGATCTGGATTTTTCTGATTGGTCCAGTAGGGGCTGTTTACTGTTTGGTCCGGTAGGGGGCTATAACAATGATTTCTGCTGTCAGTTAAATGTACATTATTTGGGACACATGGGAGTAAAACTGTAAGAAAACATAATCATGACTTCAAACTTGCTTTAATGCACCTACTCTTACTTAGAAACTATGTAGTATTGAGTATGAGATGGACATTTAGAGGTTATCTATTTTAAATTGCTGTTTCTTAGAAGAAAACCTAGTCATTTGGAATTCATTTAGATTATCTTTCTAATATGGTTAGGCTTTGTATCCACGCCCAAATATCATCTTGAATTGTAATCCCCATAATCTCCATAATTCCCACTTGTCAAGGAAGAGATCAGGTGGAAGTAATCGAATCATGGAGGTGGTTTCCCCCATACTGTTCTGATGATAGTGAGTGAATTCTCGTGAGATCTGATGATTTTGTAAGGGGCTCTTCCTGTTTTGCTCAGCACTCCTTCCTGCCACCTTGTGAAGAAGGTGCCTTGCTTCCTCTTCACCTTCTGCCATGATTCTAAGTTTCCTGAGGCCTCCCCAGCCAGGCTAAACTGTGAGTCGATTAAGCCTCTTTCCTTTATAAATTACCCAGTCTTGGGCAGTTCTTTGTAGCAGTATGAAAATGGACTAATACATTTTCCTTATCTAACTCTATTCAGAGTTGAAAATACGGCAGTCACATTTAGCTATTCTGTCTCTGTGAGCTTGTTCTGATTTTCCTTTGGTCTGAACACATCTATATAATATCCCACATTTATATAGACCTTATATAGAGCATTTCTACATCTATTATCTCATCTTTACAATAACCCTCCGTGTTGCATAGGAAGTTATTATCATCACCATTTTACAGCTGGAGAAAATGATGCTAAGGGAGGTTAAGTGGTTTGTTCAATGTCACAGTTATTGAGGAGTCAGAGGACTAAAATCTAGGTGTTTCAAATCTTAGCCCCAGATCGTTCTCATTACATCACACTGCATATCTTTTTATATCATAGTGCAATTAGTTAGTAATACTTGTGAAAAAAATCTACCAAATATTTCATCAAATATTTGATTAAAGACCCTAAATATTTTTTGAGTTTATACAGTAATCCTGTTATTTTAGCATGTTCTTTCTCATAAAACTAAACATTTCTCTTTGCTTTAACACAATTTATTCAACAAACATGTCTTAAGTTTCTACTTAAGAATGCCTATACACTAGGCATTCTTCTAGGCAATGCTATTTTATTATGATAAAGATCAGTTCATTTTTTAAAGAAAATGAGTCTATCTTCAACTCAGCTACAAAGTAACATTATGTAAAAATTTAGAGTTAAGAATAAATCATTTGGGGCCTGCCAGTTTGTACTATATTTTCCATTTATACTAGTTTGGAAATACATGGAAATTGAGAAGTCCAAATTCATTCTGGCACATACCAAATATTGTGATCTATTGTTGTAAAGCTGTATATTTCTTATAACAATAGAATAAAATAAATAATGCATTGTTTATCATCACAGGAATAAAATATTCACATAAGTGAAAATTTCAGACAATTATTAACTTTTCAGGTTCCAAATACTAACAATTTAGGTGTAAATATGTTTACAATCTAATAAATAATTTCATTTTTCTTATTATTAAACCAAACAAATATTTTTGATGACTCAACCTTTATTATTATGTGTTTCAATATACTATAGTGGGTAGCTCGAAGCCACTGTAGATTTGGTGGTTCTCTTGGCTTTGCTCTCTCTTCTTTTTAAAATGTCTCATTCCGTCAGCTTCTAAAAATACCTTGCTAACTTTTAAAAAATGTATTTTCTACATACTGTAACTTAGAAAGAAATGATCTTTGAAAGGTACACATGTAGGCAGCTTTAGTTTAAAAATCAGCTTACTTTTCATTGGAAACATAAAGTTATGAAATAAAATGACTGAACATAAATTCATGAAAAATGTTTCATCTCACTGGTAAACAAAAATATCCCTGTTAGAACAATAACATTCCAGTTTTCTTCCATCAATTTGGTATTTTTATATTAATGCTCACATTTTTTGTGTGAAAAATGGGCATTATTGTACTGTATGCTGTTGCAATTTAGAAGTATGTATCAATAGCTATAAAATGATACATAAATGATCTAAAACTTGTACTTCTGTATATTTGTGCTAAAAATTCAGGTTATTTTACAAATCTATAAGTAGACATATATAAACATATTATATTGTATATAATTCCATTTTATTCTTTCTTAGAGACATATATATATATAGAGAGAGAGAGATGCATCTGTATTTATATAGAAGAGGTATTATTAAATGAAAAAAGCAAGTTTTAAATATTCTATTTTTAATGAAACATTTATGTGGGTGATTTTCCTTATTTTTTCTGTATCTCTGTAATAGTTTTTAAAAAATCAGCACATACTAATTTTATAAAAATAGTCATCTTAATGGTGTAGAAAGTAGAGAGTGAGAGAGCAAACAGGCAGCAGAGTTAAGGAACAATACTACGACAATAACATTAGTGAGAGTTTACACTCTACTTAGGAATTTTGACATCATTATATTGATTAAGCATCATTATTTATGTCATTTTGCTTAATCTTTACAATGGCATCATTTCCCCATTTTTGCAGATAAGGAAACTGAGACTGAGAATAGCTTACTTAAGTTGTCACTTCTAGTAAGTAGTAGATCTGGGGCCTAAAACCAGATGGGCCTACTTTCAGACTGAATTTTCTTTCCACCCTCCAGTATTACGGCAGGCTTATGCTCAGAAGCCCTTTTGCCTGGGTTTTCATTTTGGAATGTGTTCTAGAAATGTGACATTGCTGTTCATATATTGTGATCATAAGGCAGACGTCTAGCCATATCAGACTGCTATGATTTGACCTTACTCTGCCATTTAAGACTTTTTACCTTATCTCACTTTTCCGTGTCTATTTTCTGATCTGTGAAATGGGGGTAGTCATGGTACCTATCACACAGTGTGTTGTATAGGTAGTGACATTGTGGGATAATGCATAAGAAGTGTATGATACAGTATCTGGTCACTATCATTATCACTATTAATGTTGTATTCAGTAATAAATATGATTTCCTATCTTTCGAACACTTATTTGAGCCATCAGTTATAGCTTTATCTAATTTGTTAAATGGGCCTAAAGTTAGTGTATAGTCCTTTCAAAGTTAGGCATTTTGCTTTCTTCTCTGCAATAGCAGTAGACTTATTCTGTTACTTGGGAGAATACAAATGCATACGGATTTTAAGCCGAAATCCCAATGACAGGTTGTTTAAGATGATAAGTTTTGTCTTCTCTTGCTTTGAGAGGTATGCATAGTCAAAGTTTATTGCAGGGCAATATATGGCAAATACATAGAAACTGCTACTATATACAGTTGATCCTTGAACAACATTGTTTGAACTACGTGGGTCCACTTATTGTGAAATTTTTTCAACCAAATGCAGATCAAAATACAGTATTGGACAGATGCAGAACCAGTGTATATGGAGGGCTTACTTTTACATCTGCAAATTCTGTAGGGCTATGGGATTTGAGTATAGTTGGATTTTGATGTGTGTGGGGGTCCTGGAACCAATCTTTCATGTATACCAAAGGAAGACTATATATATATATATATATATATATATATATATATATATATAAAATTGCATGGTTATCTGTGTGCTATGATTTGAATATTTCTTTGTCTCCCCACAACACTCATGCTAAAATTTGGTCCCCCATGTGGAGGTGTTGGGAGGTGGAGGCTTGTGGGAGGTGTTTGGGGCAGGTCCCTCATGAATGGCTTGGTTCTGTTCTCAAGGTAGTGGGTGAGTTCTCGCTGCCCTGAGACTGGGGTTATTCTCTCAGGAAGGGGCTATCTCCTTCAAGAGTGGGTTGTCATAAAGCTAGGACACCCTTTGGCTTTGGTCACTCTTCACAGGTGTTTGCTTGCCCTTTGACCTTCTCTGTTGTGTTGTGATATAGCACAAAAACCCCATGAAGCCAGGCCCATGCCCCTGAGCTCTTCAGCCTACGGAACCATGAGCTAAATGAACCTCTTTTCTTCATAAATTACCCAGTCTCAGATATTCTTTTATAGCAACACAAAACAGACTACGACACAGTGTAAGTCCTAATTTAAATTCTATGTGAGAAAAAAGGAATACGTAAAATTTAGTCTCTTTCACAAAGCAGCTACAGAAACAAGTAAAAAAAAGCAAATCTGGTAGAAAATAAATATCATAAAATAGATAAAGGTAAACTGGAAATTTAGACAAAGGAGAGAATAGAGCTAATGGAAGAATCAGGAAATACCAGGTAGTCGGCATGTGAGTTAGATTTTGAGGAGTGGGTAAAATTCAGAAATGCAGAGGTGAATGCATGCATGGTGTGTGGGTGTGTATGTAAACCAGATATTCTAGTCAGAGGGGATCACACAAAGAAAGCCACAGATATTGGAATGTATTGGGCACAGACTTAGAACTGGGAGTGGTTATGTAAGTTTTGTGCACAAGGATTGTGAGAATTGAAAGTTTACAGATGAATGGTAAGCTGGTACAGAGCGGAATGGAGAACCTTGATGCCAGGGCAGGAAATTAGAATTTTGTTTTATAGTCAACAGGGAGCCACTGAAAGATTTCAATGATGTAATGATCAGATCACAGTTATGCTTTAGAAAAATTAGGCCAATAATAGCACATTCAGTGGATTATAGGGAAGAATTCAGAATTGGGCAAGTGAGGTAGGAAAGTTTTAAAAGGTTGCATATTTAAAATTATACCTTTCCCTTTACAGGATTCATAGGGCTGATTATGTAAAGCATTGGTGTAAAGGGAGAATGTGGCTCAGTATCATGAAAGTTATCAATTGCCTTGATTTGAGAGGATTTTGTATGGAAAGGGTATGGACAAATGAAGAGTTAATGAAGAATTAAGCACTATCAAACCTGATGTTTATAAATCTTTAAATACAGTCTGTCCTTAATTTTTGGGTTTTTAATATCAAAATTTTTGCAATTACAAAGGTGGATATCAAAGGAAAAGCATCATAACCTACAAATAAACTGATTATTTCTGACATTAGTTTCTACTGAATCATTTTCCCCAA
Organism: Homo sapiens; assembly: GCF_000001405.40. Lineage (NCBI taxonomy): Eukaryota > Metazoa > Chordata > Mammalia > Primates > Hominidae > Homo > Homo sapiens. The sequence goes on from NC_000005.10 coordinate 91,915,541, forward strand.
ACCTTAACCCTAGTGTCTTCCTCAGTATTTGTATAGTTCACTGTCTTTCTAATTGTCAAACGTTGTATATCTCTGTAATGGAAATATCACTCAATTTTGATTAAAAAATTTAAAGTAGGTGATCAACAACAGTTAGATTACTCATATACATCAAGATCTTAAAGAGGTCAAATTGTAGGAAATTTAAAGGGATTTGAAGAATTTTTTTTTTTTTTGACAAGTTCTTGTTTTGTCACCCAGGCTGGAGTGCAGTGGCACAATCTTGGTTCACTGCAGCCTCGACCTCCTGGGCTCAAGTGATCCTCCCATCTAGCCTCCCGAGTAGCTGGGACTACAGGCATATGCCACCATCCCTGGCCAAATCTTTGTATTTTTTGTAGAGATGGGGTTTCACCATGTTGCCCAGACTGGTCTCGAACTCCTGGGCTCAAGTGATTCATCTGCCTTGGCCTCCCAAAGTGCTAGGATTGTAGGAGTGAACCACTGCGCCTAGCTTGGGAGATACTTTCTTTGGAGACATCATGGTTGGGATTCTTATTGTGCAAAACAAATGAGTATAGATAGGGGCTTGCCTGCTCCTCACCTTGGGTTTTCACCAAGGACAGCTTGAAATGTGGGGTTTTGTTTTGTTTTGTTTTTGCCCCAAAAGGACACAGTGAACTGATGTCTGACTCACATTGGAAAGAGTGCTAAAGGGCAAGATCTGGCTAAAACAGCCTGGGTTGGTGAAGGAGAGGTCAGCATAGACTTCTGCCATAGTGAAGACAGGTAAGCACAAGGAGGTGTAGAAGCTGAGGGGAACTATTAAGCACTAAGCCAAAGGACAACAATGATTGTGTCATACAGTTGGAGAAATCCAGGAAGGGTATCCCCCAAAAAACAGAACAAGCGTCTGATTTAAGCATTTCCCAGTACCAAAGAGATTGAAACCATCTTATAATAGCAATAATAATGGAGAAATGTTTGCCTCCCAAAGCCCCCTGGCTCTTTTCACATCTCCCTGAACTTTATTTGCTTTAGCCTTAATTGGAAATGGTAGAAACTCTTGCTTATAATAGAGGTGGCATAGGAATGCCATGTAGAAATACCATAGGAGGAAAGAGAGAAGAAGGAACTTACACCCTTTCTCCCTTCCCCTTTAAAAGGTAATGGGAGTTTGCCTCTAATGAAAGAACTAATTTTAAATCAAGTTTAAAGTTTGGATTATTATCTGGATCTAGGAATTTTAGATTAAATTATGAATTTAGACTTATTACCCAGGAGCAATGAGTGGAGTCATGGGGCCTGCGTGAATTGTTATTCAGAAATGGGGGTTGGAGAAATGGTGCACGCATCAACATTATGTAAGAGGAATGTGAGAATGTGATAAAGTTTCTTTAATGTTTTTACTTCATGGATCTTGCTTGTTTAATGATATTGTGCTGCAAAAGCTAAGGCGAAATTTCAGGTTATACAAATGATGAAGGTTTTCATTAAGTCCATGAAAGTGATGTTAGGATCTGATTAAAAAATGAAGAGTTGGGTCGGGCACTGTGGCTCACGCCTGTAATCCCAGTGAGAGGTGACAGCCTGCTGGCAGTCCTCACAGCCCTCACTCGTTCTGGGCGCCTCCTCTGCCTGGGCTCCCACTTTGGCGGCACTGGAGCCCTTCAGCCTGCCGCTGCACTGTGGGAGCCCCTTTCTGGGCTGGCCAAGGCCGGAGCCGGCTCCCTCATCTTGCTGTGGGGAGGTGTGGAGGGAGAGGTGCTGGCGGGAACCGGGGCTGCACGCGGCGCTTGCGGGCCAGCGCGAGTTCCGGGTGGGCGTGGGCTTGGCAGGCCCCGCACAGGGAGCGGCGGGCCGGCCCCGCCGCCCGGGGCAATGAGGGGCTTAGCACCCGGGCCAGCAGCTGTGGAGGGTTTACCGGGTCCCCTAGCAGTGCCGGCCCAGCGGCGCTGCACTCGCTTTCTCACCGGGCCTTAGCTGCCTCCCCGTGGGGCAGGGCTCGGGACCTGCAGCCCGCCATGCCTGAGCCTGTCCCACTCCGTGGGCTCCCGTGCGGCCCTAGCCTCCCCGATGGGCGCCGCCCCCTGCTCCACGCGGCCAGTCCCATCCACCACCCAAGGGCTGAGGAGTGCGGGCCCAGGGCTTCGGACTGGCAGGCAGCTCCACCTGCGACCGCCGTGGTGCGAGATCCACTGGGTGAAGCCAGCTGGGCTTCTGAGTCTGGTGGGGACTTGGAGAACCTTTATGTCTAGCTAAGCGATTGTAAATACACCAATCGGCACTCTGTATCTAGCTCAAGGTTTGTCAACACACCAATCAGCACCCTGTGTCTAGCTCAGGGTTTGTGAATGCACCAGTGGACACTCTGTATCTAGCTAATCTAGTGGGGATGTGGAGAACCTTTGTGTCTAGATCAGGGATTGTAAACACACCAATCAGCTCCCTGTCAAAACAGACTACTCTGCTCTCTGTAAAATGGACCAATCAGCAGAATGTGGGTGGGGCCAGATAAGAGAATAAAAGCAGGCTGCCCAGGCCAGCAGTGGCGGGCGGCTCTGGTCCAGTTCTTGGTTGTGGAAGCTTTGTTTTTTTGCTCTTTGCAATAAATCTTGCTACTGGTCACTCTTTGGGTCCACACTGCCTTTATGAGCTGTAACACTCACCGGGAAGGTCTGCAGCTTGACTCCTGAAGCCAGCGAGACCACGGAACCCACCGGAAGGAATGAACAACTCCAGACGCACCACCTTAAGAGCTGTAACACTCACCGCGAAGGTCCGCAGCTTCACTCCTGAGCCAGCGAGACCAGGAACCCACCAGAAGGAAGAAACTCCGAACATCAGAAGGAACAAACTCCAGACATGTCGCCTTTAAGAACTGTAACACTCACTGCGAGGGTCCGCGGCTTCATTCTTGAAGTCAGTGAGACCAAGAACCCACCAATTCCGGACACACCAGCACTTTGGGAGGCCGAGGCAGGCGGATCACCAGGTCAGGAGATGAAGACCATCCTGGCTAACACCGTGAAACCCCGTCACTACTAAAAATACAAAAAAATTAGCCGGGCGTGGTGGCACCCGCCTGTAGTCCCAGCTCCTTGGGAGGCTAAGGCAGGAGAATCGCTTGAACCCAGGAGGCGATGGTTGCAGTGAGCCGAGATCACGCCATTGTACTCCACCCTGCACAACAGACCAAGACTCCATAAAAAAAAAAAAAAAAAGTTGACAGAATTAGAAAGTTAATAATTGAGAAATAGAAATTCAACAAGAGTGGCGATCAGAAATAATTAGAATCAGAACATAGGTATCTATATCATGATGCAGTGGTGGTTATAGTACTGTATGCATTTGACAAAAGCCTTCAAGCTGTACACTTAAAATTGGGGAATGTTATCATATGTAAATTATATACTACTTAAAAAAGGAGACTGGATGAATAAATGCTCCATAAATTTTGTAGGCTTTTGGTTAATTTCTAGAATTCTGAAGAAGTTGAACTTGATGATTTTTGCTAGTGTTCTTATTGCTTTTACGGAAGAGCAGATTTCAGAACATTCTTTCTTTTCTATTTGGAAACCTCACTTCTATAAATAGAATTTTAAAATATGCGTTTATTTCTTTCTGGCTTCTTTCATTCAACATTATCTTCGTTAGATTAATATTTGTAGTTTATTTTCTTTGTTCTATAATGTTCTATAACAATGATTCTCTCACCCTTTTTGGCATCAGAGACTGATTTTGTGGAAGATTTTTTTTCCACAGACTGGGTGGGGGGGTGGAGATGGTGTGGGTGGTGGGGTGGTTTCAGAGGCATTAGATTCTCCTAAGGAGCAAGCAAGCTACATCACTCGCAGTAGCAATTCCCAATGGGGTTTGTGCTCCCGTGAGAATCTAATGCTGCTGCTGATGTGACTGGAGGCAGAGCTCAGGTGGTAATGCACACTCCTGTGCAGCTCACCTCGTGCTGTGTGGCCCGGTTTCTAGCAGGCCATGGATGGGTACCGGTGTAATGTTTTAGGAATGTACATATGTTCTGGCTATGTATCTTATGTCATATGTATACATATATATGAAGCATCTTCTAAATTAGTGTATTCCATTTTTGTTGTTTTTATCTTGACGAGGTGAAAAATTTTAACTATCAACCTTTTTGTATTTATTCAGATGATTATATAAACTTTCTTCTTTATTTCCTAGTGCACATATTTATTTTCTAATACGACACCCACCTTGCATTCTTTAAATAGAACCAACTTGGTCCAGATGTGTAATTCTTTAAATATATCACTAGATTTTAATTTCTGTTATTTTGTTTATTTAGGATCCATTTCACAAAAGAAATTGGCCTGTAATTTTTTTTCTTATAATATTCTTTCCATGTTTGGTTGTAAAATCATGCTGACCTCATAAAATACTTAGAGGTGTTTCCTATTCTTTGGAAGGATTTGTTTAAAATTGGCGTGTTTCTTTTTATATATTTGGAAATTTTACAAGTGAAACAATCTATGTCTAAGGTTCTTTTTGTAAGTAGGTTATTCTTTAGAAATTCAGTTTATTAATGGATATAATGCCAGTCAGATATCTATTTTTGAGTTTTGGTAAGTTGTGTCTTCAAAATTATTAGCATATCACTGGTCAAAATACCCTTTTGTTATCTTTTTTTTAATGCTTCTAGAATATGTGGTGATATTTTCCTTTTCATTCTTGATATTAGTTATTTATGATTTCTTTATTCCCTTTGATTAGTATTTTTGTTTTCTTGATCTTTCCAAATAAGTAAGTTTAAAAGATTTAAAAATCTTTTCTGTTAATATGTTTCCTACTTTATTAGCTCTTGGTCTTTTGTTATTTTCTTTCCTCTACATCCTGTGAGTTTAATTTGCTCTTCTTTTCTAATTTCTTGAATAGATAACTGATTTTTTAGTCTTTCTTTTCCACTAACATATGCATTAAAGTTAGAAATTTTTCTCTAAGTTGATTTATTGTTTCATACCAAAAGTTTAATAGCAAGATTGAAGTTTTTACATTTCTAACTATAATTTTGGATTAGTATGCTTGTCCTTTTTATTATGTCAGTTTTTTCTTTATATATTTTGACGCTATTAATTAGCTGCAAAACGTGTTACATCTTTTTGCTACATCAATCCTTTACCATTTTTTAAAAAATCCCTCTTCTAGTAATACTTGATAAATTGAGAGAAAATATTCGAGAAAATATTTGCAAATCACATATCTGAAAAACATATCAGAACATATAAAGAGCTTTTAAAACTGAAAAATATACAAGCAAACCAAAAACAAGCAGAGAATATGAATATACACTTTCTTATTTAATTTTTATTGTGGTAAAATTTACATAATGTAAAATTTAGCTTATTAACTTTTTTAAGTGTACAATTCAGTGATATTAAGTACTTGTGCAACCATCACCATTATCCATCTTTTGAACTTTGCATTATCTCAAAATGAAACTCTTTATCAGTTATAATATTCTTTTTATTTTTAAAAGATGTCATGATACACATTCACTTTTGCTGTTTAATATAGGATTCTATAGCTGTGGCTATAGATATATTTTGTCAAACTTGATTTGTGATTCAATTCTCTTAAAAATAATCTACAGATCTTTACAATTGACTGAAAGTTTTTATTATGCTATCTAAATATGAGTAAAGATAAAACAAGGAATAAACTAACTTGTTTATAACTACAAAGCCAAAATAAACATAAATTAAAATAAAAACAACTATAAAACCAAAACAATTCAACTCATTAACGTAGGTAAACATTTACAATTCAAATAATTATTTACAAACTAAATATATAATACTGATTATTATGGCACAAATTATTTTGAAGGTGGCCATCCTGTATTACCAAAATGTGGGATGAAGACTCCATTTTCAGTTGTAACTAACATGAATGTGTGCACCTCATTTGACTTTGCTTAGAGCAGTGTTTCTCAAGCTTAGCCCCATACCAGCCTAACCCAGGGAACTTTCAAGAATATTAATGACTGGGCCTCACCTGCAAAGATACTGGGTAATTGCCCTAGATGTGGCCTGAGTCCTGGGATGTTTTAAATGTCCCCAGCTGAGCCTAATGATGAGTCAAGGTGTCCAGTCAAGGTTGAGGACTGTGGATTTATGTGAATATGTTGTTTGTATGCCAGTTCTACCACTATTATTTTTCTCATTAGACTCTAATTAGCATATAATTACTTGGAACTGACAGTATATGACAGTATAGTAAACCAAATGTAATGCAAAACTAAATGTTTTATGGCAGTACTGGTTATATACCTAATCCAAAATATGCATATATTAATTTGTGTTTATATATTTTTCATTAAAAAAGCACAAGGTAAAATTTTTTGAAGACAGATTATCTCCAAGAATATGTCTGAGGACCAAGAAAGATCTACAAATCATCATTTGAATAGTATTCCTATAACTATTTAACCTTATATAAGAATGAAAAACAGCCTACCTTATTTGTTCTCAACCATGGCTACACACATTAAAATCAACTGGCAAGTTTCAAAGGAAAAAGAACTCACCTCATTTTCAACCTGAGAGGAACTAAATCCCTGGGGGTAAAAGCAAAACAGTAACTTTTACAAGCTTCCCAGGTGATTCTCCTGTGCAGGCAGGGGTGAGAGTCATTGGAATAGACTATTCTATTATTTACAAATTACATAAACTAAGTTGGAAATTTTGAGAAAGATTTAAATGCATTTGTGTCCTTTATGTAATCTTAAAAGTCACTTCTTTGTAAATAAATTGTAAAGAAAGTCCGGATTTTTATAATTACAAGAGAAATAAATGCATTGCCATATTTAAATGATATTCTCATTTTTTAAATAAAAAATTTAAAGCTGGCAGCTATGTTTCACTTATTACTAACTGTCTTCTTAAGCATTTAGCATAGGGCAGAGTTGGGTAACACACATGAAGATAAACTTTAACTCTTTAAGGATTTTTTTAAGGAGAATAAAATGGCAAAAAGATTGACAAATTATAAAAGACAAGAAGATTTCCATAAAGGTAACATGTGGTGCTATAAGATGGAAAGAAAATTGTATATTTTTAAGTAAAGCGATCCACAATTACCTAGAAAGTTCAGGAAAAAGACTGAGATTATTTTAGTAACATTTTATTCAGTAGCCGTTTCCTGAAATATTCTTCATAATAGAAACAGCACATATTACACACACACACACACACACACACACACACACACACGTAGGACTGGCAAACGATAATGTCAAAAACTCCACAAATATCTGTGAATTCTGATTTACTTTTATGAAGTTTCTCAGTAAAATAACATTGAGAAATCTACCTAATCTTGTTTGAAGTCTAAGATATCTGGTATTGGAACTGAACTTTTTTCATACAAAAGTTTTTGTTTGTTGGTTTTTCAGAAGACACTATATATTTGCAATACTAGGGAGTTCTTTAATTGATTCAATGATGTATTTATTGTTTCTATGTGTCAGGCACTGTGGTAGGATCTAGGGAGTTACAAATTATTAACTTTTAAAGTATTTATTGGAGCAATGGACAAATCAGCCAACAATTACAATTTAATTTGAGTGCTATAAATACTATTATTACTATTAACAATAATACCAGCTAAAAACAGACAAATAGGATTACATCAAACTAAAAACTTCTGCACAGTAAAAGAAACAGCCAACAGAGTGAAAAGACAACTTATGGAATCGAAAAATGAATTTGTAAACCATACCTCTGATAAGGGGTTAACATTCAGAATATTTAAAACACTCAAACAATACAATTATAAGAAAACAAGTAATCTGATTTTAAAAATGGCCAAGGAAACGAAATAGACACTTTTAAAAAAGATATACAAGTGGTCAACAGGTAGATTAAAAGAATGCTCAACATCACTAATTATCAGAAATTGCAAATCAAAACCACAAGAAGATACAACCTCACACCTGTAAGAATGACTATTATTAAACAGCAAAAGTTAACAAGTGTTGGCGAGGATGTGGAGAAACAGGATCCCTTGTACACCACTGATGAGAATGTAAATTAGTACATCCGTTATGGAAAACAGTATGGAGGTTCTTCAAAAACTTAAAAATAGAACTACCATATGATCCAGCAATCCCACTTCTAGATATATGTCCAAAGGATATGAAATCAGTATGTTGGAGAGATAGCAGCACTCTTATGTTCATTGCAGTATTATTCACAATAGCCAAGATATGGAATCAACCTGTATCTATCAGTGGATGAAAAGATAAATAAAATGTGGTACATATACATAATAGAATACCATTCAGCCTTAAAAAAAAAAAGAAAATCCTGTCATTTGCAACAACATGGATGAACCTGGAGGACAATATGTTAAGTGAAATAAGCCAGGCACAGGAAAATAAATGCTGCATGATCTTACTTATATGTGGAGTGTAAAAACGTCAAACTCCTAGAAACAAAGAGTAAAATGGTAGTTACCAATGGGAGGGGGTGGTGGTGAGGGGTTGGGAGATGTTGATCAAAAGATATATTAATAATTTCAGTTAAATAAAAAAATTTCAAGAGATCTATTGTCCCTTATGGTGAATATAGATAATAACAATGTATTGTATAACTTAAAAATTACTGAGTAGATTTTAAGTGTTTTCATCCCCCAAAAATAAGTATGTGAGGTAATGCATATGTTAATTAGCTTGATTCTGTCACTCCAAAATGTGTATGTATACATTAAAACATATGTTGTACACTATAAATACAGACAATTTTTGTCAACTAAAAATAATAGTACCAGCTAATAGTAGTAGAACACTTGCTGTATGCTGGACTCTGTTCTAAGTATTTCGCATGTATTAATTAAGTTAATAATATAACACTGGCTGCTTCTGTAATGCAACAAGTCAATTGCTGTCTGATCCCTATGACACCAAAGAAGTTAGTGATTGTTCAGAGTCATAAAACATAAATAATTCCTGGCCAATTCAAAGAAGCATTGAAGAAATAGTCTAAATAAAGGGAATAGCATTTGTAAATGCGTGGATGCATGGACCGTCCATTGAACTACAGATAATTTAGTATATTTGGAGCATTGGGAATATGAAATAGTGGTAGGAGGAAAGGATGAAAAAATTCAGCAATTGTATCTTGAGGAACTAATATTTTATGCTGATGAAGTTGGAGTAGACAGAAAGTGAAGGGAAACTATTTAACAATTTAAAGCATGGTATTTACATAATCAGAATATTGTATTTTAGAACGACTATTCCAGTGGTCATTCCAGTTGGTATAGAGAATGAATTAGGAAGGAAAAGTTAGAGTTAGAGAGTTAAGAGACTATTGTAATAGTAAAAGCAGGAGCTAATAGCCTGGACATAAAGCGGTAGAGAGGGGATGGAGACAGTCAATAAAGTCCATAGATATTAAGAAGTAAAATAGAGGCCAGGCATGGTGGCTCATGCCTTTAGTTCCAGCTCCCTTCTGGAGGTTGAGGCAGTAGGATGGCATAAGCCCAAAAGGTCAAGGCTGCAGTGAGCTGTGATCATACCACTGCACTCCAGCCTGGGTGGCAGAGCAAGGTCCTGTTTCAAAAAACTAAGAAAAAAAAGTAAAATAGAAAAGGAATGCTAATCAATTTTGTGGTGAGAAATTCTGATGGTTGATTTTATGTGTCCCCTTGTCTAGGTTAAGGTACCGAGATATTTGGTCAAACATTATGTTAGATGTTTCTGTTAAGGTAGTTCTTAGGTGAGATTAAAATTTAAATCAACAGATTTTTAGTAGAGCAGATTACCCTGCTTACATTATGAGGTTACTTAGGTTGCATAATGTGGATGGGCATCATCCAATGAACTGAGGGCCTTAATAGAAAAAGACTGACCTCCCTGGAAGAAGAGGGAATACTGCCAGCAAGCCTTTGAACCTGAATTGCAATGCTTCCCCGGGTCTCCAGCCTGCTGGCCTACTCTGAAGACTTTGGACTTGTCAGGATTTCCCAATCATGTGAGCAAATTCCTTAAAATAAATCTTTCTCTTTATATATTCTGTTGGTCCTGTTTCTCTGGAGAAGCTTGACTAACATGGAGGGTAATTGAAAAGGAAGAGTCTAGGATTATGCCTGCAATGGATAGTTGTCGGGGCCATTCACAGGCATTGGAAACACAAAAGGAAAGATGGGAGGATATAAAGAATTTAGTAAATCAGATGTCTGACCCACATACAAATGGAGAGGATTAGTGGAAATTTTATAAGGCTAAAAGTCAAGCAAGAAATCTGGGATAGATATTCCACTCTGGGAGAGGGGTTCTGTATTTGGAAAAAACCCATTCAAGAAAAACAGCAGCATAAAGATAAGAATAGAAACCTGGGATAAAGTAAGAGAATGAGGAGACTAGCAAAAACCTTTTAGGGTTGAAAATAAAAAACTGGGACAGAGTAGAATCACAGAAGTCAAGAGAAAGAGAATTTTAAGAAAGGATGAGTCAAATGCTACCAGACTACATAATTTTGAAATTAGAAGGAAATCAGTGCCCTTGGGATGAAGAGTTTTCAAGACCTATAGATTTAAGATCGACAAAAGCCAAACAGCACTTACTACAGTAGTGTTCAGAAAAGCAAGACACATTTTTATCTATCTCATAGCCAGATTTGTAATGAAATTAGGAAGGATATTTTCACTTAGCATACACATATTGATTTGATGTGCAGCACAACTTTGAGGCTGAGAGAGTTCAGGAAACTCACCATCTTCCCTTGTGACAAAATGGCATATCCAGAATTTGAACTTGTGTTCAGTGCTCCATAAGAGAGTCATAATACATTTATTTGCTGTAAAAAAGCAAGACAAGTAGCCACATATAGCAATAGCTGAGAAGGGAAGAGAAAGAGACACAGGGAAACAAATAGGAATAAATAATCTTACACACAAACTTGCACTTATTTATAAGAAAAGAAACAATATAAAGTATCTTAGACTGGGAAGAGAAGTTGTTAGCTGGCCACATGGAAAATACAACAGAAGGATTTCCACAGTGGTCATTATTCGGGAAAATGCCTAAGTATAAGATGAATGATTGTTTGGGAAATATTGGTTTATTAAGAATCTGTGCCTTTAGGTGACTCAGAGAAGGAAATTCAAATTTCTCAAGTGGGGCTTCAGAATTCTGCATCAGTACTACTTTGAGTTATTTAAAATAATTATTCGGCTGCAAGTCAGAACTTTTGACTCTAAATATGTGGGAATGAAGATCTGCTTTAAAAAACTCATATATAGGAGTTATTTATATTTTATATGTAGACACTCAAATAAAGCATCAGTGCGTTTAAGGGAGGATGAATGAGTATAAATGCACTCTACATGTTCTAGAAATTAGATGCATTAAAATGCATGTCAGCATTTCTCTAATAAATAAAAAAATTAAAAGTATGTGTTTATATAATTGTATTTTTTCAATTCTGTTCTACACCTATTGTTTTTATAATAAATTCCCACCTAAATCTGAAAGAGTGGTAGAATTTTCTAATTCTTTTGAAAATCAGCTGTAAACTTCTTCTAGAGTACTTATATTGTAACAAAGTTCAAGAGTTGGCTACAATAATTTTTAGCCTCTACAATTTTGCAGGTTACCATTCATTAGCAAAGGTAGGAAAAGATATTGTCCAAAATTTAACAACAAAGAAATTATACCAATCAAGTATCCTTTAAAATATTATATAATTTATGTATTTGATATGCTTGTTTGCTTATTAATAATTTACAGAGTAGTAAATCAAAAATGAGATCTTAAGCATTTAGAAAAAGAACGTATGAGACAAAATAATGGGTGCCTACAAAAACAAACTCTAATGCTTTTATATTCTTAATGAAAAATATTGCTTGTAGGTATTAACATATAAATGCCTGTTCTCCACACCCAAGTTCACATTGTCAACACAATTATCTAGTAGGTATATGCATTATTTCAACATACTTTTAGAGAATATAAATTCTCCAGTTTTAAAAATTCAATTATCTTAGATATTAACCGACTTATATGTAAATATAGTTGAATGACTTTTGCTGCTCAGGTTTTTAATTATTTTTGTTATTTTATTAAATTATTATTTTAAATTATTTTATTTAAATTATTTTATTAAATTATTAAAATAATTTTTGTTATTTTATTTCACTAAATAATGTAAACTAAATAAATGATATAAGCTACAGATATGCTTAATCTCTACTTCCATTAATAATTTTACTTTTATATCTATCCCAGCATTATTAGACCTCTCCATACTAGTAGAACGGTTAGTTAAGACAATCCAGAAAGGAGAAAGAAAACACAAATGCATGAACTTTAAACTTTTTTAATTGAGTATTTTGTATTAAATGAATATTTTGTAATTTTACAGGATGTTTTCCTGTAAAATTAAATATGTAAGCCAAAACCCAAATTATTTCTTCATGCGTTTTTTTTTTT